>NC_000007.14:144609894-144761410 GCF_000001405.40 Homo sapiens | reverse complement strand
GTAGAAATCTGCTATAAAGCACCTTATTTCAATTGTAGTTTTTTTGTGACAAACTCTTTCCTTCTTAAATTATGTACCCCAGGCTTTTATGTAAGCCTTGAGGTTTTCACTTGATTATTTTAAGTTAAACACAACCAACTTTATATTATATAAAGTTTTCTATCCTATAAACTTTATATTAAAGTTTTCTATCCTATAAACTTTATATTAAAGTTTTCCTTTATCTTTCCTTTTTCATTCTTATTTCTCTATTTAGTGGGACCTATTTATCTCAGTTTTGGTGTCTTCTGTGTTTTTTTCTCATTAAAATAGAGAAATCAGATACCTGTCACTTTTACGTGTAGATTGGTTGAATAGATAGTTATGCTTTAATGTGCTTGGTATCAGTTGCTATTTTAATCCTGTTTCATCTATTGTATGCACTATTCCTGTTAGAGGAATTTTAAGGGAAACATGTTTTTTGATGATAACTTTGAAATTTTGAAATCACCTTAAGGTGATTTCTTTAAGCTGACCCTGGAAGGGCCAGTCCCCCCAAGAATGTATATCCAACATAATTTTTTCCTTTGGCCTCATCTCTATGGCTACCTCTTCCTGTGTATTTAATGATTAATCTAAATAGAACTGCCATTTACTTTTTTCCTGCGGAAAATAGACTTTTACTTATTTATATTGCAGACTTTCACCCATCCTTTAAGGTCCAACTCAAATGCCACCTCTTCTGAAAACTTCCTTAGCTTCCCCAGGTAGAGATAGATTTTCTCAAATGTCACCTTATCTTTCCTTGAGGATGAACTTCTTGAAAATGGATGCAAAGTGCTTAGCTGATGGTGTTTTCTTAGTTCTTGTGAGACTGGCCTGGTAGCCGTTGTGGGTCATCCTGACAATTGGGGAAGGTCACTGCCTGTCTTTGATGCAGCCAAAGACAGGTCCTGGAAATCCTCTTGCGCTGATGTGGACCAGTTAGCAGGCTGCAGGCACATGCTTGCGCCTCCTCATGCACTCTCTTTCTCTCTTTTTCCCCAGATTCCTCTTTGGTCTTCAGTCTCAGTTGAGTCCCTTTTCTAATTCTGCTAAACTTGAGCTTTGTCACTCACATTTTTTTTCTCTGCTCTATGACTCCTCTGTACTTATTTGATATTTCCTGGTACACCCAATCAGAACTGATATTTTCATTACTCTCTCCTTCTTTCGTTATAGTGCATGTGCAAAAATGTATTTTTTTTTTTTTTGCCTTTTTGGTTTCATGCCTTTGACAGTTAAGATGCCAGTAAATGTAGCATTCGAATATATCTTCTTTGTCTATTAAGATATTATGGTAGGGTGCCTCTTTTAATTATAGAAGGATATATAAGTTAGCAGTACCATTGTCTTCTGACATTATTGTCTAAAGAGATTAGTCATATATTGGGTCCTTTTTGTTAAATAACTTGTTTATGAGAACTGTAGATTAACTTATTTATTTATTTATTTTTGAGACACGGTCTCACTCTGTGACCTAGGCTGGAGTACAGTGGCATGATCACAGCTCACTGCAGTCATGACGTCATGAGCTCAAGCACTCCTCCCACCTCAGCCTCCTGAGTAGCTAGGACTACAGGCGTGCACCACATACCCAGCTAATTTTTTATTTTTTGTAGAGGTGGGGTCTCCCTATGTTGTCCAGGCTGGTCTCAAACTTGTGGCCTCAAGTGATCCTCCTGCCTCGGCTTCCCAGAGTGCTGAGATGATAGGAATGAGCCACTGTGCCCAGCCATTAACCTTATTTTCATAAATGTAAATTCTTTAGTTTTTCCTTAGATTTTTCATCTTTAATTATAGAACCATGTGTGCATTTTTAAAAGTTAAAACCTCACAGTTTGGTTTAAAAATGTCAGTCCCCATTAACCATATATATATATATATATATATATATATATATGTTTTTTTTTTCTTTTTTCTTTTTTGAGATGGAGTTTTGCTCTTATTGCCCAGGCTGGAGTGCAATGGCACGATCTCGGCTCATTGCAACCTCCACCTCCTGGATGCAAGTGATTCTCCTGCCTCAGCCTCCTCAGTAGCTGGGATTACAGGCACCCACCACCACACTCAGCTAATTTTTGTATTTTTAGTAGAGATGGGGTTTCGCCATGTAGGCCAGGCTGGTCTCAAACTCCTGACCTCAAGTGATCTGCCCACCTTGGCCTCGCAAAGTGCTGGGATTACAAGTGTGAGCCACCATGCCCAGACCCATGAACTATTATTTCTGTCATTATCTTTGTTTTATGCTTTTAATTTTACTTTTCATTATTTCTCATGAAATGATTTTTAAATGTAATTTCTAACAGGGTAATAAGTGAAATCCTACTACTAAATAGAAAGATGCCCCTGAATTGGTGATTGTAAGACCATGTGACTCTGTGTGCTTCATGGCAGTTAGTATAGGCATTTCAACTGCCTGTTTTACTTCATTCTTTATGCCATTTAGATCTCTGTCCAATTTGTATGTCAATTTTTAATGTATCCAGAAAATGACTGCCAAGTTTGTATGGCTACTTATGTTTTCTTTTTTAACATTCAACATTTTATGTATGTTTTTTGATTGTTTGCTCCATGTTTAATTCACTTGCATGTGTATACACACACAGATACACAAACACAAACAGACACACAGTTTTATCTTTTGTTTGCTTCAGTGAAGTGGGCCTGGTGTGTGGATAATTTGAGGAGTTTAAACTCATTGCTAATAATTATCCTTGCTAGAGAGGCTAAGTAGTATCTTTGTGATGCTGTACCTTTAGTGAAAGAAATTAAAATTTAAAAAAACACAAAGAATTCTATTTTTATACTAACCAGGTGGTAGGCTATTACATAAAACTAGAAAATATAAGTGGAACTTCAAAACAGACAATTTACTAGAGGTGAAGTCAACATTTTGCATTTATTTTCTTATAGTTGTTGGTGCCCAGTTCTTTAGAAGGTGTGGTATCATTCTCCCAATCAAAATGCTTGGGTCTCAAATGCCCTTTACTGAAACACAGACATCTTCATTTTTAACAAATATTTACTTTCCTGGTAATATATTTGTTATGCAGTAATTAAGGTCTTTTCTCCTTGGTGGTGTTTCTTTTTTTTTTTCTTTCTATTTCACTTGTAATATACATTTAATCAGTTAGTTTTAAAGACATCTGAAAATGTAGGCTTGGGAAAACAGCCAGAGAAACATGGTGGGGTTCACCTTCGTTTTTTCCCACATTGCGTAGTGTATAGTAATACACAGAAACAGATATTTTTGCCCTGCCCTACTATAAGCTCTACATAATGTTATATGTTAGATGTATATTATTGTTCCTCCTATATATATTTAAATTGTCATTCCATGTTGCTTCTCTTTTGTAATAATTTGTTCCAAGATTGATTCCTTCTAGAATCTTATTTTTAAGATCATGCCATTTAATTGAATATAGGTAAATTAAAGAACGTTTACACTGAGCATTTGTGTGTGATTATACATTAAAAAATAACTTGAACTTTTTTAATAGTCCTAGTTCTTGGGGGCAACTGAGACTTTTGAGCTCTCAGTTTTACAGTGATAGCTGCTTTGGGGTCCATGGAAAGAAACGTCCATGGCACAGAAAAGATCATGAGGGGATATAACATGCTCTCCTCCCATCACGCTACCTAACTTCAAACTATGCTACAAGGCTACAGTAACCAAAACAGCATGGTACTGGTACCAAAACAGAGATGTAGACCAACGGAACAGAACAGAGCCCTCAGAAATAATAGCACACATCTACAACCATCTGATCTTTGACAAACATGACAAAAACAAGAAATAGGGAAAGGATTCCCTGTTCAATAAATGGTGCTGGGAAAACTGGCTAGCCATATGTAGAAAGCTGAAACTGGATCCCTTCCTTACACCTTATACAAAAATTAATTCAAGATGGATTAAAGACTTAAATGTTAGGCCAGGCGCGGTGGCTCATGCCTGTAATCCCAGCACTTTGGGAGGCCGAGGTGGGCAGATCACAAGGTCAGGAGATCGAGACCATCCTGGCTAACATGGTGAAACCCTGTCTCTACTAAAAATACAAAAAATTAGCCGGGCATGGTGGCGGGTGCCTATAGGCCCAGCTACTCAGGAGGCTGAGACAGGAGAATGGCGTGAACCCAGGAGGCGGAGCTTGTAGTGAGCTGAGATCATGCCACTGCACTCCAGCCTGGGCGACAGAGCGAGACTCCATATCAAAAAACAAAAACCAAAAAACAAAAAAACAAAAAAACTTAAATTTTAGACATAAAACCGTAAAAACCCTAGAAGAAAACCTAGGCAACACCACTCAGGACATATGCATGTGCAAGGACTTCATGACTAAAACACCAAAAGCAATGGCAACAAAAGCCAAAATTGACAAATGGGATCTGATTAAACTAAAGAGGTTCTGCACAGCAAAGGAAACTGCCAACAGAGTGAACAGGCAACCTACAGAATGGGAGAAAATTTCTGCAATCTACCCATCTGACAAAGGGCTAATATCCAGAATCTACAAAGAACTTAAACAAATTTACAAGAAAAAAAACAACCCCATCAAAAAGTGGGCGAAGGATATGAACAGACACTTCTCAAAAGAAGACATTTATGCAGCCAAGAGACACATGAAAAAATGCTCATCATCACTGGCCATCAGAGAAATGCAAATCAAAACCACAATGAGATACCATCTCACACCAGTTAGAATGGTGATCATTAGAAAGTCAGGAAACAATAGGTTCTGGAGAGGATGTGGAGAAATAAGAACACTTGTACACTGTTGGTGGGACAGTAAACTAGTTCAACCATTGTGGAAGTCAGTGTGGCGATTCCTCAAGGATCTAGAACTAGAAATACCATTTGACCCAGCAATCCCATTACTGGGTATAAAGGATTGTAAATCATGCTGCTATCAAGACACATGCACACATATGTTTATTGCGGCACTATTCACAATAGCAAAGACTTGGAACCAACCCGAATGTCCATCAGTGATAGACTGGATTAAAGAAAATGTGGCACATATACACCATGGAATACTATGCAACCATAAAAAAGGATGAGTTCATGTCCTTTGTAGGGACATGGATGAAGCTGGAAACCATCATTCTGAGCAAACTATCACAAGGACAGGAAACCAAACACCGCATGTTCTCACTCATAGGTGGGAATTGAACAATGAGAACACTTGGACACAGGGTGGGGAACATCACTCACGGGGGCCTGTCGTAGGGTTGGGGGAGTGGGGAGGGATAGCATTAGGAGAAATACCTACTGTAAATGGCGAGTTAATGGGTACAGCACACCAACAAGGCACATGTATACATATGTAACAAACCTGCATGTTGTATACATGTACCCTACAACTTAAAGTATAATTAGAAAAAAAAAAAACCATGCTCTCCTCCAATTCACTGGGAGACACATTTGAAAGTCTGGTCTACGTTCTTTCTATGTTCAGAGTTTACAGGTGATGTTTGGAACAAATTGAATGGGGTGACATGGGAGAAACCATGGGCTGAAACACTTGTTTATGCTGGTAGAAGAGGAACTGTGGGGAGAAGACATATTCTATTTTTGAACATGTTTAAAAGAACTGAATAGTGTGCACTCTGGCATATCTAGTGGCAGAATCTCTGTGGAAGTAAAATAGTGATACCTTTAGGTAAAGCTTCTTTGTTATCTAAGTAGTTGTCACGAATGTAGCTGTTAGGGATTTGCTCATTACGAGTACATGAACAGGCAGACTACCATGTACGTTTTTATCATTTAAATGCACCCAGGCAGAGATGCAGGAGGTCACTTCACCTGGAAAATGCTGGGCTTTAAAAGGGTATCTGAATTTCAGTTAGGATGATCTCGGAGGCATCTGTTCTGGTATTGAGTAGCTTTAGTCATTAGAATTGGAATTCTGTAATAGTTCAGCTATTATAGTTGTATTAAAGTACCAAATTGACATTATTTGTGTCTGTTTCTGTGTTTAGTGTTTCATAGAACTTATGCTTTGAGCACATTTAAGTGAACATTGAGCCAAAGATCTGATGAGCAATTTGCATACTTGGTTCAGGTCCATTGAACAAAACAGTTATGTACAAGCTGTAGTTTCTGTAAATAAGGCTGTCAGAAACGATGTATCTCAGTCACACAAAAATATATGGGGGACTGCAGAAAGATTATTTAAATATATAAGACATTTTAATATATGGGTGGTACAGATGAAAATACATATTTCTTTATATGAGGCCAGAGGTAAATTCTATTCCCATCCCCCAAATGATGGCCCATTTCTATTGAAATCAATATTTAATCAATTTAGGTATTGTCATACAAATATTGTGAGATTTTTAAGAAGCCCTGTGCTACCTTCTTTCCCAGGATTCACTCAGACGAGATGGAATGACTTAATCTTTGTGTTTAGTGCCACTTCTGGTCATATTCCTCTATCACAATTAAATGATATATCTTCTTTTTTGAATTTACTTCATCTACAAGCTTCTTACCATTAACTACCACCATGTTTTTCAGTAAATTACTGTCTTAGAATTTATCTCTCAAATATATTAATTCATTAGTTAATTCATCCAGCATTCGACTAATGACTATTATGAACCTACTATATTTAACAGTAGCCAGCACACAGATAGTAATTATCATGTGCCAAGTAGTGCTCTAAGAGCTTTGCATGATTAACTAACTTAATCCTTTGTCACTCTTGTGAGATCAATACCATTATCATCCTCATTCTACAGATGAGTAGACTGAGGCACTGTAAGATTGAATGGCCAGTTTTCATTCACAGTTCTAGTAAATGGAAAAGCTGGGAATTAAACTCAAGCAGATAATTCAAACAGTGTAAATATTTGTGTAGTATGTGCCAGGCATATGTATGTTTGGTGACTTGAATGTTAGTGTTAAGGCTTACATGATTATGCCCTCAGCTCATAGACAAGGAGGGAGGCAAAGTTTTTCTGTGAAGAGCCAGATAGTAGATATTTTAGGCCCTGCAGGCCATGTGGTCTCTGTCACAACTCTTCAACTCTGCTGTTATAGTGCAAAATCAGCTGTACCAAATCCCACCAGGCCTGCCTTACAAGAGCTCCTGAAGGAAGCACTAAATATGGAAAGGAAAAGCCGGTACCAGCCACTGCAAAAACATACCAAAATATAAAGACCATTGACACTATGAAGAAACTGCATCAAGTAATGGGCAAAATAACCAGCTAGCATCATAGTGACAGGATCAAATTCACACATAACAATATTAACCTTAAATGTAAATGGGCTAAATGCCCCAATTAAAAGATACAGACTGGCAAATTGGATAAAGAGTCAAGACCCATCAGTGTGCTGTATTCAGGAGACCCATCTCACTTGCAGAGACACACATAGGCTCAAAATAAAGGTATGGAGGAATATTTACCAAGCAAATGGAAGAAGAAAAAAAAGCAGGGATTGCAATCCTTGTCTGTGATCAAACAGACTTTGAACCAACAAAGATTAAAATAAACAAAGGAGGGCATTAGATAATGGTAAAGGGATCAACATAACAAGAAGAACTAACTATCCTAAATATATATACCCCCAATACAGGAGCACCCAGATTTATAAAGCCTGTTCTTGGAGACCTCCAAAGAGACTTACACTCCCACACAATAATAGTGGGAGACTTTAACACCCCACTGTCAACATTAGACAGATCAATGAGACAGAAAATTAACAAGCATATTCAGGACTTGAACTCAACTCTGGACCAAGCAGACCTAATAGACATCTACAGAACCCTCCATCTCTAATCAACAGAATATACATTCTTCTCAGTGCCACATCATACTTACTCTAAAACTGACCGTATAATTGGAAGTAAAACGCTCCTCAGCAAACGCAAAAGAACAGAAATAATAAACAGTCTCTCAGACCACAGTTCTATCAAATTAGAACTCAGGATCAAGAAACTCACTCAAAGCTGCACAACTACATGGAAACTGAATAACCTACTCCTGAATGACTGGTAAATAATGAAATTAAGGCAGAAATAAAAAAGTTATTTGAAACCAATGAGAACAAAGACACAACATACCAGAATCTCTGGGACACAGCTAAAGCAGTGTTTAGAGGGAAATTTATAGCACTAAATGCCCACAGAAGAAAGCAGGAAACATCTAAAATCGACACCCTAACATCACAATTAAAAGAACTAGAGAAGCAAGAGCAAACAAATTCAAAAGCTAGTGCAGAAGAAAAGAAATAACTAAGATCAGAGCAGAACTGAAGGAGATAGCGACACAAAAAAACCCTTCAAAAAATCAGTGAATACAGGAGCTGGTTTTTTGAAAAGATTAATAAAATAGATCACTAGCCAGAGTAACAAAGACGAAAAGAGAGAAGAATCAAATAGACCCAATAAAACATGATAAAGGGGATATCACCGCTGATCCCACAGAAATAGAAACTACCATCAGAGAATACTGTAAACACCTCTATGCAAATAAACTAGAAAATCAAGAAGAAAAGGATAAATTCCTGGACACATACACCCTCCCAAGACTAAACCAGGAAGAAGTCGAATCCCTGAATAGACCAATAACAAGTTCTGAAATTGAGGCAGTAATTAATAGCCTACCAACCAAAGTAAGTCCAGGACCAGATGGATTCACAGCCGAATTCTACCAGAGGTACAAAGAGGAGCTGGTACCATTCCTTTTGAAACTATTCCAAACAATAGAAAAAGAGGGACTCCTCCCTAAATCATTTTATGAGGGCAGCATCATTCTGATACAAAAACCTGGCAGAGACACAACAAAAAAAGAAAATTTCAGGCCAGTATTCCTGATGAACATCAGTGCAAAAATCCTCAATAAAATACTGGCAAACTGAATCCAGCAGCACATCAAAAAGCTTATCCACCACGATCAAGTCGGCTTTATCCCTGGGATCTAAGGCTGGTTCAGCAGACAAAAATCAATAAACGTAATCCATCACATAAACAGAACCAATGACAAAAGCCATATGATTATCTCAATAGATGCAGAAAAGGCCTTTGACAAAATTCAACAGCCCTTCATGCTAAAAACTCTCAACAAACTAGGTATTGATGGAACGTATCTCAAAATAATAGCTATTTATGACAGACCCACAGCCGATATCATACTGAATGGGCAAAAGCTGGAAGCATTCCCTTTGAAAACTGGCAAAAGACAAGGATGCCCACTCTCACCACTCCTGTTCAACATAGCATTGGAAGTTCTGGCCAGGGCAATCAGGCAAGAGAAAGAAATAAAGACTATTCACATAGGAAGAGAGGAAGTCAAATTGTCTGTTTGCAGATGAAATGATTGTATATTTAGAAAACCTCGTCGTCTTAGCCCAAAAATCTCCTTAAGTTGATAAGTAACTTCAGCAAAGTCTCAGGATACAAAATCAATGTGCAAAAATCACAAGCATCCCTATGCACTGATAATAGCCAAACCATGAGTGAACTCCCATTCACAATTGCTACAAAGAGAATAAAATACCTAGGAGTACAACTTAGAAGGAATTTGAAGGACCGCTTCAAGGGGAACTACAAACCACTGCTCAAGGAAATCAAAGAGAAACAAATGGAAAAACATTCCATGCTCATGGATAGGAAGAATCAATATCGTGAAAATGGCCATACTGCCCAAAGTAATTTATAGATTCAGTGTTATCCCCAGCAAGCTGCCATTGACTTTCTTCACAGAATTAGAAAAAAAAACTACTTTAAATTTTATATGGAACTAAAAAAGCTTGTATAGCCAAGACAATCCTAAGCAAAAGGAACAAAGCTGGAGGCATCACACTGCCTGATTTCAAACTATACTACAAGGCTATGGTAACCAAAACAGGATGGTAATGGTACCAAAAAAGAGATATAGACCAAGAGAACAGAACAGAGGCTTCAGAAATAACGCCACACATGTACAACCATCTGATCTTTGACAAACCTGACAAAAACAAGCAATGGGGAAAGGATTCCCTGTTTAATAAATGGTATTGGGAAAACTGGCTAACCATATGGCAGAAAACTGAAACTGGACCCCTTCCTTACACATTATACAAAAATTAACTCAAGATGGATTAAAGACTTAAATGTTAGACCTAAAATCATAGAAACCCTAGAAGAAAACTTAGGCAATACCATTCGGGACATAGGCCTGGGCAAAGACTTCATGACTAAAACAGCAAAAGCAATGGCAAGAAAAGCCAAAATTGACAAATGGGATCTAATTAAACCAAAGAGCTTTTGCACAACAAAGGAAACTGTCAGAGTGAACAGGCAACCTACAGAATGGGAGAAAATTTTTGCAATCTATCCATCTGACAAAGGGCTAATATCCAGAATCTACAAGGAACTTAAATTAAAAAGAAAAAAACAACCCGATCAAAATGTGGGTGACGGATATGAACAGACACTTCTCAAAAGAAGACATTTATGCAGCCAACAAATATATGAAAAAATTCATCATCACTGGTCATTAGAGAAATGAAATCAAAACCACAATGAGAAACCATCTCACACCAGTTAAAATGGCAATCATTAAAAAGTCAGGAAACAAAAGATGCTGTGTTCTAAAAGCATTTTATTTGCAAAAATAGGTAGAGGAGTGGATTTTGGCACATAGTCCATAGTTTCCTGATCCCCTAGTCCATTTTAGCTACCAGCCAGTACCTCCTATGTGGAATTTGGATATCTTCCTGGAAAACTGTTCCACCTTCAGTGTTTCAGGATCATACATTTCTCTCTTTGGCTGGTAGATCATCATCTCCTGTTCTTCCATACTTACTGATTCTGCTCCTAATTTTTATTACTGCATTCAGATATTTAGTCTATACCAATTTTCATAGTATATTGGTTGCTATCTGCTTTTATTCTGACCCTGATTTTAGTGATAATATTTATCCTATGGTAATTCCCTACCCTCTCACTTCTCTATCTTTTCTAGCATCTGAATAGTCAGCCTGAATTATCCCTTTACTTTCCTTACCATCTCTCATTCGTGAACAGGCTTACCAAGTCAGCTAGTGGAAGTCATGCTATGCTGCCAACCGAGGGTATATAGATTTGATATTTAATGACAACTAAATTCTCTTCTATATCATCATATGCACCTGAATTGTATATATTGTATATTTTCTATAACAGCTATAAATAGGGTGAACTTTGAGGAATCTATTAGAGAGAATGAAGTGTTTCATTATTGGTCTTAGTTTCCAAATAAGTGTCTTGCTTTAAAGCTTGTAAACTGCCTGACAAAAGACTTTGTCACTGCCTTACTAAAAAGAACATTATCTAACGAGAGTCTTTCTCCTTACCTAAAAACGTCTGTTACCATATTCTTCATTTTCCAATTTTCTCTCATTTGTAACCATCTTTTTCTTAGTGTGGTTTCTCTCTTTTCTTCTCCTTTCTTCTTTCCTTCCTTCTCTCCTCCTTCTCATTCATTTTTTTTTATGCTTATATATTTTGTCTACTTCTCTGTCGCTTTTTCCTCTGTCACTAACTGTTCACATATGCTCTCTCATATACATGCAGATGCTTTATCATTTGTTCTGACCTCTTCTTCCAAAATTGATAGTAAATAATTATTTTTCTGACTAATTGTTATAAAAATGGTTATAATTATTTAAGGCTTTTCACATTATTTCTTTTCTATAAATATTAATAATGCATAGCTATTACAATAATTATTAGTAACAATTTTTCATTGCATGGCACTTAGTGGCCATGCCTGATTTCTTCATGAAACTGAAATAAAGAGTAATAACAAATGTGTAAAGAATTGAAAGATCACAATTCAGAAATATATCTAAGATGGTATCAATTAGTTGTAATTATTAATACAAATATTACCTATCCTTTCTTCAGAAGTAAGAATGTGATTTCCTGACTCTATTTTGGATCTATGAATTGTTACCTACTAATGAGTTATGAAAACAGTTTAATGAGGTAAGCCCAGTATTTACAAAAAATGGAAATTGAAGACTAAAAGACAGTGTATCAGGAGTTAGGATAATTATTGTTTCTTGAAACATACATGCACATGTACCTATATTTACACATAGACATTTCTGTGGGTGATGGAAAATGTGTATCTATAGGTTATGATTAATCAATGACATGTTTATTAATAATAACCATAGTAGTAACTATGTATTGAGTGCTTGTCACTCTGCTAAAGCACTCTATATGCAAGTTTGAATGTAATCACCTCAACAATCTTATGGAATAATTATTACAATTATTCTTATTTGTTAAATGAGAAGCGTTGAGTACAGAGATAACAGAGCTAGAGAGTGACTGAAGCCAGACCTCTCTGCTTTAGAGCTTCAGCTCTTAGTGGCTGTGTCTTGCATTTATACTTTCCTCCTTTTTTTCAAGGGGATAAGAGGCTTTTCTAGAAACTGGGAAGCCTAAGTGTGTTTCATGGAAATACTACTAACTTATAGGACACTGAGTCCTCATTTGCATGTTCTGTTAGGGGTCTCAATGAACATTCCTCCTAGCAACAGCTTTAAATTTCAGACTGAGTGTTTTTCTGTTTAACAGATCATTAGTTTCAAAACTTACCATTTGTAAAGGAATATTCCAAGCATTCTAAATCTCTCTTACATTAAATGTTATGTCATAACAAATATAAAACAAACATTTGAAAGTAGTAAAAAGAAGTCTGAATGGAAATATTCACAACCTTTTCTTTTAGCGTAAGTAAAGTGAATGAATCTCAAATAGCTAGCATTGAACCATCATTTTTCATAATCACATTATATGTGTGTGGAATCCTTCTTATGAAATTTTATAACCTTACAATTTTTGTTTTGTTTTAGTAATCACAGTATCACAGGAATTCAAGGAATTTATGCTAAAGTCTCAAGAGCTTAATATTTTAAGTGAGTTTATAAATCTGCTATACTTCCTAATTCCGTGATACTGTGTATGAAGGGTTTCACTTGATGTTTATAAGAGAAGTCATTTTTTAAGTGCCAGCTTTACAGTATAACATTTTAAAAATACGTTTCCTGAGAGACAAAAATGTTTCCATTATTTTATTGTTTTTAGTCAATATTTTTTGAGCACCTTCTGTGTCAAGCAGTGTAAAAAGTTTGGAGATAGCACGGTGAGAAAGACATAGGTCCTTTTCTTAAAGGGCTTACAAATCAACTGCGTCATAATGTTCTTTAAAGATTCATGTGTATTAGAAGGCTTCTTGCCAAGTTGAGAAATGTTCAACTCTCTTTTCTCTATATAAGCATGATCTCAAAGGTCCTTTTCATTTATAAGCCTGGAGCCAGGTTTTCTTGTAGGCAGTCTCAATCTTATCTTAGTACTTTGTAGCTCCAATTACTGTTAGACATTGAACTTTCCCTTAGAATTATGTTATAACTAGGGTCTCATATTGGCCCCTCTTTGTAGAAGAAATTTTGCTGACTTCAGAAAACAGTGGAAATACCTCTTGTATTACATGTTTTTTGATACAATGAGAACTTAGGGAATATATTTTGGACACCTGAAACAGATATAGAACAAAGTATAGATGAAATAGATTGATTAAAGTGGAATTTTTTGTTTTTGTTTTTGTTTTTTTTTTTTTTGAGATGGAGTCTCGCTCTGTCGCCCAGGCTGGAGTGCAATGGTGCAATCTCAGCTCACTGCAAGCTCTGCCTCCCGGGTTCACTCCATTCTCCTGCCTCAGCCTCCCGAGGTAGCTGAGACTACAGGCACCTGCCACCACGCCCGGCTAATTTTTTTGTATTTTTAGTAGAGACGGGGTTTCACTGTGTGAGCCAGGATGGTCTCGATCTTCTAACCTCGTGATCCACCTGCCTCGGCCTCCCAAAGTGCTGGGATTACAGGCGTGAGCCACCGCGCCTGGCCTAAAGTGGAAATTTAAATAACTCACCTATCTATGGTTATTTGGGCATCAATCTATTAACCTTTATGTAGATGAGAATTTGCTTTTCTTGTAAAACATCAATTAGGATTCATTGAATTACTTTGGGACTATCATAAACTTTAATGAAGGTGTTCTGTAGGTCATTGCACAGTGAGGCCAACCTGCTCCTTTATAGGATGTAGTCGGCTTGTAGTATGATAGCCAGCCCCATTGCCCTAGATTTGTTCACAGAATGGTAAATAAGAGATTACAGTTGCCACCACTGGCAACTGTAATTTAAAGAGTTAGTAAAACTCTTTCAGTACTAGGTATGATCACTGAGGGAAAGGAGGTTTTAGATGTGGGGCACAGTAGCTTTTAGACAAAGATTTGTATATTTTTATAAAAGAAGGGTTGCTGCCATGCATACTGTTATTTTTTTGTTTTTATATTTTGAGTTTTTAACGTGGGAACATATATATAGACCTTTAATAAAAATATTTAAAATATGTGACTTCCTTTTGAATATCTTCATTAGAAAAACAACCTACATTTTCCCCCTAACTCCTGCCATGTTAATGCAAATATAAATATAAAAATTTGAGTTTTATGAAGTGAATAGACTCATTGGCTTGTCCTTCGTGAAAAAAAATTCCTCATACTGTCTAAGGATGGTATATAAATTAGGTCAGTGAAATCAGCCAAGATATACTCATCAAATGTCATATCTTTTCAAAGTTACCAGTCTTCATCTGTCTCTCTTTTTCTTTCCCTACAACTTAGATAGTAAAAGGGGAAAAATATCCGTGATGGTGGCTATCTACTCTCCAAGAAAACATAATTAATGTAAGAAAGAATTTAATATTATGAAGTATTTTACTTTGAAATTTTTACCTTTACATTTAAATTCATCTAGATATAAATGGTGAGTGTTTAAAACACATTCCAAAGTTATAGTAGAAGTTAGTGGAGAATCATCCAGAATATCTCAGTTTTTGAAATTAAGATTCTGTCACTAAAGGAAAATTGTTTGTGATTTTTACCTTGAAGTGTCCAAAATGTGCCCTCCCTCTTGTTCTCCGTTGAGGTATTGTGGAGAAGTACTGTGATTTACTCAGTGATGAGAGTTGTTCTTGAGAGTTCAGAAGAGGAGACCTTAGGGGACAGATAAGATACAGCTGATTTTTTTTTCCATTGCCAGCAATGTTTGGTTATTTTAAAAAAGGAATGATAATACTATATTTAAAATGTATGTATCATTACCAGCCTGGATCACTCATTGGACAAATATTTATTGAACTTATTAATTGTAACTAGTTACAAATCCAAGCCGGACTTTTTGCTTTATGGTTACTTTTTACATCTCGTTCATAATGATGCCTTCAGTAATTTCAGTCTTTTTCCTGGGTTTTCAGTTGCAGTTAATCATGCTTCGTTGCATTGTGCCTTGTTTACATTCAATAGCATGTAAAACACTGCAGGAATAAAAACAGGGGCATCATCTTGGAACTGCTTGCAAGTAGGCTGGGTCTGTCATCTTAGAGAGAAGAAAAAAAGAAATATAAACTGAAACTTAGAGGAGCACGGATGTGAGTGTTCACTGAAAGCAAATTTAGGATCTTGGGAAATATAAATATGCCAACTTAACCATATTTATTTAACCCAATTGTTTTGATTGGTTTCAGTTATCCATATGGCTTATCCATGTCCATATGCTTAAATTTGCCAGACTCTCCTTTGCTTTGATTATTTAGGTAGGTCTATTGGTTTTGTTTTTCCTTGCTTTTTATTGTATTAATCTCAATTGTTATTGAATCAAAGACCTTCATGAGATGGTATGCATTCAACTATAACATTCAATAGGCCTCTAAATACTGTGTTCTAAAACTCTTGCTGGTTAAATAAAATACCATTTTTATAGTTGGAAGTGAAATAGGAATATTTTATAATATTACAATCAGAATGCTCTTTCTAGTTTTTATGGGGAGTTTTTAGCAGAGGCCTCGAGAACTTTCATTTGTGCCCTTTTTATCTTGTCTTACAGAACAAAGCAAAAGTGCATTTTTTGGCTATAGATTAGTCTAAAACTAGTATTTTCTATCCAATGATGGCGTAATTGTTCAGTCTAAAACTAGGATTTTCTATCCAATGATGGCGTAATTGTTCAGTCTAAAACTAGGATTTTCTATCCAATGATAGCAAAATTGTTTTGTCCAAAACTAGGATTTTTTTATCCAATGATAGCAGAATTGTTTTGTCTAAAACTAGGATTTTCTATCCAATGATTGCAGAATTGTTCGCATGCTTTAATAATTTCTTAACATTTTTTTGAAGAGGTGAGCTATTGATCTTCTCAATGTATATTAAAAAACCTATGTATATCTGCTTTCTAGTTTTAAAGAAGCAACACTTCTTTCTTCTATGAGGGGAAAATAAACAGGAAGCATGTGCAAACTTTTTTAAAAGAAGAGAGAAGCAATATTTTTATACTTAACAGTATTAAAGGCTATGGCTGCGTTACTTTATGTTTCATTAAATGGGGTTGTGAGGGTCTACTTGTAGAAAATGATTTTTATATCATTTTCTAGATGATAGAAATGGTTGTGAGGTTCTACTCGTAGAAAATGAAATATAACATCCTTTATATTTCCATGAGAATGCAACTGTGAACTACCATAGCAAAGTAGAATCCTGAGGCTTTCACAGTAATTGGAGGCATTCTTTCTTTTCTCATTCATCCAGTTTAATAAAAATTTGTGGCTAAGATATTTTTGTATTTTGCATTTTGTATTTTATTCTTTATTAGGCACATGTGGTGTTTAAGCTTCTGACTTCCAGTGAAGGGAGGATTAGGTGATACAATACCTGTATCCTAGCAGTCTTGATAAACTGTGTATCTTAGCAAAGTAGAAATTTTTCTGCTAACTCTACTTTTAGAAGTCATAAATCATAAATGTCAAACTCCCAAATCAGTATTTAAAAATTTGGTAAAGATTCAGTTCATTCTCTTTTATTTATTCTATCTCTGCACTAATGAGTCTTCAAATCCTGAGTATTAACCTTGGTACTTCAGGATCTTTTGCCATTGGAGTGGGTTTCAATTATGTTTTTATATAGTGCTTATTATGTAAGGAACTTTCGATACTTTTTGTGAGGATTTTGATACTTGTTAAACACATGTTTAAACAAACTGGAAGTGATTACATATTACTTAACAGATATATCTATTTCATTGTAATACCTGGAACAATTTTGTCAGCATTCCAATTTATTATTAATGTAAGACTTACTTTATCCTACTGATGAGCATTTTGTGTCCCTTTTAACCAATTTTATGTTATCATACACTGTTGAGGTATTAGTCTCTAGGGCAAGGGCAAAATGCCACCAGTTTCTTTGCATAGCAAGAGCGATGTTTACCCCATTACAAATTCTGAGCTCTCCAAACTATTCCGACCTCTGTTCCAAAGTTGCTTCCACATTTTCGGGTATCTTTACGGCAACACCACATTCCTGGTACCAACTTACTGTATTAGTTCATTCTCACACTGCTAATAAAGACATACCTGAGACTGGGTAATTTATAAATGAAAGAGGTTTAATTGACATGCGGTACCACATGGTTCACAATCCTGGCAGAAGGCAAAGGAGGAACAAAGTCGTCACGTCTTAAATGGTGGCAGGCAAAGAGAGTGTGTGCAGGGGAGCTTCCCTTTATAAAACCATCAGCTCTCATGAGAGTTACTATCATGATAACAGCATGGAAAAGACCTACCCCATGATAAAATTAATTCCCACAATAGGTGGGAATTATGGGAGTGACAATTCAAGATAAGATTTGGGTGGGGACACAGCCAAACCATATCAGCTGATGATGTCTTTCTTTTTTTGAGAAGGAGTCTTCCTCTATTGCCAGGCTGGAGTGCAGTGGCGTGATCTCGGCTCACTGCAACCTCCGCCTCTTGGGTTCAAGTGATTCCCCTGCCTCAGCCTCCTGAGTAGATGGGGCTACAGGCATGCACCACCACGGCCAGCTAACTTTTTGTATTTTAGTAGAGATGGGGTTTCACCATTTTAGCCAGGATGGTGTCGATCTCCTGACCTTGTGGTCCGCCCGCCTTGGCCTCCCAAAGTGCTGGAATTACAGGCGTGAGCCACCACACCTGGCCAATGTCTACCTTTTTTATCTTGAACATTGAACTAATTATAATTTCACTGGTCTTATTTTCAGTTTTGAATCAAAATGAAAAGATAATTATAAGTTATAGCACATGGATAGTATTTACCTTAGTAAATTTAAAGAGTATTTCAAATAAAAGCCAAAGTCATAAATAATTAAACTTCTGTCCTTTTATTTAATGAATGATACCTGCATAATTCTGCAACTCAAGCAAACATAATAAATATGTCAGCAAAATGAATGAGAAAAGATTATAGAGATAACAGGTTAACTGTGGAATGAAGAAATTATAAAACTAAATTAACTTAAAATGTATACAGAAGAATATTTATCACTGAACTTTCTGTCATTGCCTGTGCTTTTTTTCTGTCTTGAATAATAATTTTTGAAGTGCTGTCACCTGTAGTCTTCAAGCATATATGTTTAGAAAAATGTCATATTAATGGAAATGAATGTTACCTTATATTGAGATTTTCCAATACTGGACATCAGAACTTCCTGAAGATGCTGGGAAGCATTTTGATGTATACCTGGAGGCTGTATTTTTCCTCCAGAGGCTTATTTTTTACTGACTACTATATTTCTTTCCCTTGCTCTTTCTTTTCCTCTATTTTTTAACTTTTTTTATTTTTTGAAGTCATTCTTTTTTGTTACTATACTGCATCATCCTTGTTAATAAATTATTGAGACTATCTTTCTTTCCGTTCTCTTTTCCACCCAGTCTCATGTGTGCCTGTGAGTTAAATGCTAGGTACTAATAAAGGAGATGTGAAAGACTTGTACTAGTAGGGCTGATGGTACTATAACCTGTGATTTGTGCCTCTTCTGAGCCTGTGAGACCTGCCTTGTGAGACCCACTTCGCCATGTTAGTATCAGGATATTTCCCAGAGAATAACCCATCATTCTGATTAGGCTTTCCTCATCTGCTTAAAGATGTGACTGCCCTGATCAAATATTACCTTATAGTTTCCTACAAACTTCTAATTTCTAATCAGGTCACACTTTTACTCTCTGGAAGAGTGCCAGTTGAGATACTTTGTGCCTAGTAGTATTTGGTTCTCCAGAAATGACAGATGATCAATGGAGGTAAAAGAAGCCACTTGGATTCTGCAAAATGTTTACACACTCAGGTTGCTCATTTCTGTTTTTTCCCTTCACCAAGCTTCACCCATTTCTTCCTCCAGCCAAAAGTAATCCTGTCTTAATGTCATCTCGTGTGTATTTATGTGTGTGTGTGTGTGTATATGATCTCCTCCAGTGTGACTGTGTTAAGACAGTCTTTGGATGGTATCTGACTACTGTGTTGTTACATAAAATTAGGTGGTTGTTATACTTGATTACTTAATTGGGTGCCGCCATTATCTTTATTTGAACTCACCAAATAGCCCATTTTCTTTTCAGTTTTGGTGCCGTAACAAAAAGTGAGAGAAAACATTTCTCCAAAATAATCAACATACTTATCACTATTTTGTCTTCTTAAAGCATTGGTAAACAGATGTGTTTTTATTTTTTTAACTTATGGAATGGGTTGTTTTTGATTAATTTCTTCAAAGTTTGTATGATTTTTTTGCACATTTTATCTACTATCAGTGTTATTTGGAATGATTAAAATGTTAGCACCTTAGATAATGTAATAGATGAAGATGGTATTTTTAATGTTTAAGCTAGCTATTTGAAACTTTCTTTTAAAAATACACTAATAACTATTATGTTAAAAATATAACAACTGAAGGAAATTAAAGAATTGGAAAGAATAGTATTCTTTATGAGTATTTAATTTAAAGTATTTATTTAAGTCTGTTATCTAACTATGTGGAATATTGTAAAATACAGGTATCTTTCAATATGCCAAAACAACAACAACAACAATTCCAAATCCAGATAAATTAAGGACCATTTTCTAATTTTGGAAAAAACTAAATTTCTCCTAACTTTATTTTCTCAGGAAATGGAGTCTTTCCTATATAAATTTTATAAAGGTAAAGGCAATAATGTTCTTTTGAGCTTTTGGAGATAAGCATTATATAGTAGCAAATAAAGTGAAGATTTATGCTAGAACCTAGGAGGTAGAGGTCGCAGTGAGCTGAGATTGCGCCATTGCACTCCAGCTTGGGTGAAGGGACAAGACTGTCTCAAAAAAAAAAAAAAAAGTGAAGATTTATATTTCATGAGATTTAAATTTATTAATACAGCACAGACATAGATTATAAGCAATAATTAAGCTTTTAAATGGCCACATTAATGTCAGAAATTGAGGCTACATTTATTTTTCCCTTCAGCTTTTGTCTGCTTCCAATTCCTTTTGCTACCTATATTCCATATATAAACTGGTACTTTTTAACTCTGTATCCCCTCTCTCCCTCCCACCCTACAAGCCCATCTAAGTTTTGCTTTATAACTGTGCCTGGAGAATAGCAATAGGTAATTTTAATTAAAACAGTACGGAAGTTTTCCATAGGGGACTACATTTAATAGAATTGTTTTGGCTGTTTACTTTGAATATTGGATTAAGATTTATTTGTTTTCAAATTGCTAAACTGATATTAACTCTATTATTCTTAGCCTGAAATATGCTCTCTACCGCATATTTCTTTTTTCTTTTTTTGAGATGGAGCTTCACACTGTTACCCAGGCTGGAGGGCAGTGGCGCGATCTTGGCTCACTGCAGCCTCTGCCTCCCAGGTTCACATGATTCTCTTGCCTCAGCCTCCTGAGTAGCTGGGACTACAGGTGTGCACCACCACGCCCGGCTAATTTTTGTATTTTTAGTAGAGACAGGGTTTCACCATGTTGGCCAGGCTGGTCTTGAACTCCTGACCTCAAGTGATCCTCCTGCTCAGCCTCCCAAAGTGCTGGGAATACAGGCATGAGCCACCATGCCTGGCCTCTACTGGATATTTCTATGTAAGTCTCTTACCTGACACATTTGAAACCACATCTTTGTCTTAAAATCAGAACTTCGGTGGACTTACCTCCTTTTTTATTCACTAAGGCTCACTCTGTGGAGCTATTTTTAACCCACGACTTCCTTATTTTTTTTTCATCCTTATGGGTATGATCAACTATTGTCAAGTTTTTCTTTACAGTGTTTTCATATTGTTCTCATCCATTTTTACTTCCTACCTAAACTAATCTCTTCTTGATGCTAATTCTGTCCTATTTCAGCTGTTCTCTGAGTTGTCTGCTTCTGATTATTTTCCAGTTACATTTATGCTGCACGTTACCTTTTAGATTCATTTGTCTATGTTCTTGTTCTCTCAGTTCAGAAGCTTTGCAGGTGTAAACATTTCCTAGAGCGTGACATCCAGCTTCCTTAGGCTTTAAGAAGTGTTTACAATTTATATTTGAAATTTCTTTCCCATCCTTACTCATATATGTGTGTCTTCACAGGTAGACTGAGCATAAAGTCTTTGGCTTCTCTCTCTTTATGTTGGTGCTTCGTATAGCACCTTGCATGTTGTGCGCCGTTGGAGATTGTGTTGAAGAAGAGAATCTCTTTCTAAAGAAAATATTTAAATTGATGCATATTAGTTGTACATGTTTATGTGGTACATGTGATATTTGATATATGCCTACAGTGTGTCATGATCCAATCAGAGTATTTAGCATATCCATTGTCTCAAACATGTATCATTTCTCTGTGTTGGGAACACTTCAGATCTTCTGTTTTGAAATATATATTATTGTTAACTGTAGTTACACTACTGTGCTATTGAATACTAAAACTTATTCTTTCTATCTAACTTTATGTTTGTACCCATTAACCAGCCTCTCTTCATCTGCCTGTGCCATAGCCTTCCCAGCCTCTGGTTACTATCCTTCTACTCACTACCTCCATGAGATCAGCATTCCTAGCTCTTGTAATCTCTGTTACTTGTACATTTCTGTTTTTCTGCCTGCCCGCACTTCTTTCTGTGTGTCTGGCAGCCTGCCTGTCTGCCTGCTTATGCCCATTTATTTACTGTGACTTCATGTTCTACGTTTTCCATTTGAGGAAAATTGGTCTGATGTCTACTGGCTACTTCAATTTGATCCCCCCCTCCTTTTTTTCGGTGAGCACATAAACAAGTTTTTTTTTTCTTCAATGTTTACTTTTCTTCTAAAATTTAAAGACTTCTACAACCAGTTTTTTTTTTTTTTCCAGAATATCATTGCATTGCTTCCTTGAGTCCCTTATAGCATGGGAGCTCTCTGCATGTTGTATCTCAAGGGAAATTATCCTTGTAGTGTATACAGTATTTTTAAAGTGTTTCCGTGGAAAGCAGATGGACTCTTTATTTTGTGTTTCTCTGTATTTCTGATTATCCATGCAGTGGAAGTGATTAATTAATATAGATAATGGCAAGATTGTCACAGAACCATTGACTTTTACATTCAGGTAACTTATTCGTAATACTCTTTTGGCAGTTAACTGCCACCAAGTGGTGGTTGTATGCCATAGCTCTGTAACATGAACAGTGTTTCCAATAAACTGTCCACCGCAAAACCCGTAAGTTTCTATATGTTAATATCCAGCATCTTAATGAAAAATTACACTTAGCATTGTATAGTGAATTGAAAACCAGTATTTTTCAGGAAACATTAAAAAAGTAAACTTTTTTCTGTATTTTTTGTTTTTTGTTTTTGTTTTTTTTGGTTTGTTTTTGTTGTATCTTTTTCTTTGTTTTTTTTTAATTTGGCTTTTTTTCATATTTTTTAAAAAGTAAACATTTTGTGTTTCAAAGATTGCTATCAAGAAAGTGAAAGGAAACCCAGAGAATGGGAAGAAATATTTGCCAATCATATTTGCCAATCTTATATCTGATAAAAGACTTATATCTAGAACATATAAAGAATTCTTACAGCTCAATAATAAGAAAAATGATCCAATTTAGAAACGAACAAGGGATCTGAATAGACTTATTCCAGGGAAGATATACAAATGGCCAACATGCACATGAAAAGATGCCTGACATCATTAGTCATCAGGGAAATGCAAATCAAAACCCAAATGAGATACCACCTCACACCCTCTAAGATGGCTAGAGTAAAAAATTCAGATACTAGCAAGTGTTGGGGTGGATATGGAGAAAGCAGAACCCTCATATACCGCTCGTGGGAATGCAACATTGTGCAATAAATTTGGAAAACAGTCTGGCAATTCCTCAAATTGTTAAAAATAGAGTTACCATTTGACCCAGCTATTTCCACTCCTAGGTATGTACCCAAGAGAAATGAAGATATATGTCCAAACAAAACTTGTACTCAAATGTTCATAGCTGTGTTACTTATAATAGCCCAAAGGTAGAAACAACCCAAACGTCCAGTAATGGGTGGATGAATGGAAAAAACAATGGCTAAAGAATATGTTCCATTCATATAATAGAAAATTACTTGGTCAGAAAAAGGAATGATGTATTGATACATGCTGTGACATTGCTGAACCTTGAAAATATTAAGTTAAATGAAGGAATGCAGACACAGAAGAACATATTATGGTTCCATTCATATGAAATGTCCAGAACAGGCACATCTGTAGAGATACAGAATATATTAGTAGATGCTGGAGACTAGGGCAATAGGGGAGACTTACCAAAGTGTAGGGTTTCTTTTTAGGATGATGAAAATATTCTAAAATTGGTCATGATGGTTGCACAACTCTGTGATATACTAAAACCATTAATTGTACAATTTAAATGTATTAATTTTATGGCATGTGAGTTATATTTCAATAAGGTGTTACCCCCAAAAATAGACATTAAGGTGTAATTTATTATATTTTAATCTTTATTATTCCATCAATGTAATATTTGTCTTGATTAGGATGTTCACTTTTTTATGAGCTTTAACTTATAGCAAAATTTATTTTATATTCTGTCCTCACTTCTGGATATGTTCATTTTGTTCATGTGCTATAGGCCAGTGGTTCTCAAATTTAGCATGCATCAGAATTACCTGGAGGGCCCTAGCCCAGCATTTTGGATTCAGTGGGTCTGGGATAGGATTTAAGAATTAACATTCCTAACAGGTTTGTCTTACTTCCTTCTTCTTTTCCTTCCTCCCTCCCTTCTCCCCCTCCCTTATTCACTTGCCTCCTCTCTACTCTACTGCCCTGCCCTTCCCTCCCCTCCCCTCCCTCCCTCCCTCCTTTCCTTCCTTCTTCCCCCACGTTTTTTCTTTTCTTTCTCTTTCTCTCTTTCCCTTTCCCTTTTCCTTTCCTTTCCTTTTCTTTTTTCTTTTCTTCTCTTTTTTCTTTTTTTTCTCTTTCTCTTCTCTTTTCTTTTCTCTCTTCTCTTCTCTTTTTTCTTTTCTTTCTCTCCTCCCTCCTTTGCCTCCCTCTGGTCTGGTTTGATAACCAGTGGCTTAGGTCTTAGGGGAACATTTTTGTTTTAGCACAACTTTTATTAGATTCTGAGATAATGGCCTTCATAGATTTAGACTTCAGCCCTACTAAAGTCTCATATAGCATCAATTCTTGTCTTTTACCAGTGAGAACATAGCTTTTTAATATTATATTTCCTTTTGTGAATACTTCCCTTCTCCTCTCTGCATGATAAGTTTGATGTTTAAGTGAAAGCTTTTGTTTACTGGGTTTTAATTTTGATTTTCTTTAACATTTACGGCAACTGCTTCTTTGAAAATATCCCCTTAGAAAGCTTAGAAATTCTGTAATACTACAGAAAATAAAATATTTTGAACAGAAAAAAGTTAATTTCTTTAAAAAGTGATACATTTATGAAGCTAGGCAAAAATGTCAGTTGTTACCATATTTTGGTGTACTTCGCTGTTTTTAGTACTTATTATTTTAATTCCCAGATCAAAGAGGGATCTTTGTTTATTTTAATTAGAACACTCTTGTTTACAATATTTTTACTAGGGTGAGCTTTATGTGGAAGAGTGTGACAAGCTATCATTATTAGCATTAAATTCTTAATTAAAGACACTGTTTTCTGAAGAAATTTGTCTTCTTGATTTAAAACAAACAAGCAAAGTGTTTAGTGAAAAGGACATATCCTTAGGATTATGTCACTATAAAGTTCTTAAGCCTCTTGTCCAATGTTGCAAATTAATAATGTTCAAAATGCTTATTAGGTTAAAAAATGAGTGAGCTCCATGAGCTGAGGAGCTAGCAGATTGCCGGGATTACAAAGACAACGAGACAGGACCCTTTCCTTAGCAGGATTTACAATCTGTAAGTGTGTGTTATAAATCAATCAGTGAGGATTTATGTATCATCCGGGATTTTACCAATGTACTGTGCAGGATGCTTGAAAGGAAATTTGAGAGGCAGATAAGGAAGGCTGTGCCCTTGAGAGTTTTTAACCTGTACTGAAGATGAAACCCAGCACAAGAAATAACCACCTGTATGCGTGTCGTATTTTGTGTGGTGGGGAGTATGCATGCTGCTGCAATTCTAAAAGGGACTTTAGGGATTGAGCAGAGATCTGCGTGGATGCACACACGTCAGGAGTTGGCTGAAAAACTGCTGCAGGCAAAAATGCCATCGCTGATAATAAATTGTAAGGAGATCAAAAGTGATGTTTCAAAAAGGAAAAAAAAAAAAAACACCAGGGCATAGAATTCTTTATTTATTATGCTGGTGTGGAAGGGAACAGCTGTTATCTTTCAAACTGAAGAATCCTGACTGACACTGACCAGTTTAGTGCCTCTCTCTTCTACTGTATTATAGAGGATGTTTTTTCTTGGGCTTTGGCTGGCATGACAGTGTTCAAGGATCCTTCTGGAAAAGTAGAAGAACCTGGAAGCCAAAAACCCAGCCAGGTTATACTTAAAATATTTCACAATGTTGAAGTAAAGTATGCCACTAGGATTAAGAATTCTACTTTATGAGCAGAGGCAGAAATGTAATGAAAAAGATTGTAATATAGAGAATATTAGAAGCAACCTACTACCTTGGACTTATCTGCCACATTTGAGTGTTAGAACAGTCTCGAGTCCTAATAACCGTGGAAAATTTGATTACAAACATCCATTTTTAGCCAAAGAATTGGATTGTCTGTCCTTCATGTAACAGTAACAGTTACATTGGAAGACTTGTATGGAGAATGTCATGTAGCACAGTTAGGCACTATCTCCTGAAAACAGTTTGAATTTAACCTAAAACTTTTTTACTCATTATAGTTGTTTTATGTATGTGTATTGAATTGCAGTCAAATATTGTAATTATTATATCAGTATAGTCTTGCCTAGGCCTTATGACTTTTAATTAATGAGAACATGCTTCCTTGACTTAGCCAGATTTTTAAATTGAGGAGAGATGCTTGCTAGGGTGAATTAGCCAACAGTTTATAAATACGATGGATAGATAATACCTATTCACATTTTTTTACCTTATTGCAAAAAATTTAATAAGGAAACTTGAATCAGTCAATTTAAACTGTTTTGTAACACTGCTGATTTAAACGTCTTCAAAATATTTTCCTCATCTATAGAGACTATGTGATTGTATCAGACCCTTATATCACATGTGAAAATATTTCCAAATACATAAAAATACATAAATGTAAAAAAGAAAAACAAAAATTTTTGAAGGCAATCAGGATATATATGAATGTAGGATTAGGGAAGGTCTTTCTCATCTAGGATTGGAAACCTAGAAGTTTAAAAGCTAGGAGTATTTGACTGTTTAAAAGTTAGTACCTGGGTGTGGTGGAACACAACTGTAGTCCCAGCTACTTGAGAGGTTGAGGTGGGAGGATCACTTGAGCCCAGGAGGTTGAGGCTGCAGGGAGCCATGATTACAGCACTACACTCTAGCCTGGGTGACAGCGAGATCCTATCTCAAAAAAAAAAAAAAGGTACATTTTCGTTGGCATAAAATACCATAGTGTTAGTAGAAAAACAATAGATATGGAATTATAAGTATAAACAAAGTAAATGCCCAATCATCATTGAATAGTTATAGATTATGGCATATATGTGTCAAAGAATATGATGCCATTTTGAAAAAAAAGAATTAGAGCTGCACTCATTGCCTTGGAATTTCAGTGAGGTATTGAGTGAGGAGAAAAGTAGGATGCAGAAAAGTTCCCATTATTTGATGTGATTTTAATAAAATAAGTGAAGTAAACAAATCCACATATACATATTTACTGTGTATGGGTGAAAATTTATTTGTCTGTTTATCAACATGGAGAAGCAGGGATCCTATAATGTGTCTCTTAGACGGGTTGGGGAAGGGAATAAGGTGTGAGCATAGAGAAGAGAGAGGGAGAGAGCAAGCGAAAAACAAAAACTGCACAAATAGCATAAATAAAAGCCTTTATGATATGAACACATTTATACATATAAGATTTGAGATAATTATATAAGCTGTGTATGTGTAGTTAAAATTGAAGACAATTAAAAATAATGTGAAAGAGTGGGAGCTGATATGTATAAAAACAGAATTGACTGTAGACATCTCCTTTGGTTATAGGCAGAACTATAATAAGGTTTTGAGAAATACATATTTGATAACTATAAAAAAGCTTTTCTCACTACTGTTTTTTGTCTAATGGTTGGTAAACCTTTTTATATTGCAATCTTCTGTGTTGCTCTGAATCTCCAATTTATTTGAGAAAAATGACATTCAGAAATGCTTAATATAGTATTCAATTATTATTTCAATAAACATATGGATAACACTTATTTATGACATAGATAAGTCCTGCATACAGTGGCACACAGAGGCGAGGTATATAATTTGCCTGAGGGAGATCAGGGAAGGCTTCCAGGAGGATTTAGAGAATGCATGCTAGGTGGGGGGCAGCAAGAAAGAAAGTGCAGAATGGAGAAAGAGTATATATTTCTGTTTTAAACTCAATGGAAAAAACAACAAAGCAATAGATTGTAAATGGAAATTAATTGCTGCATTTTATTGAGTCTAAGAGACTCTATCAGTTTTATGATGCATGAGTATTTTATGTACCACAGGAAAGAAAAACTTGCTTATTAAACTTTTATATGTATGTAAATATATATATATGTATATACATATAAACTATTTTATATATGTAAATATATATGTATATACATATAGTTTAATAAGCAAGTTTTTCTTATATATGTATATTCATATATATGTGTGTGTGTACATATAATTTTTTTGTGTGTGTGTGAGACAGAGCTTCGCTCTTATTGCCCAGGCTGGAGTGCAATGGAACAACCTCGGCTCACTGCAACCTCCATCTCCCGGGTTCAAGTGATTCTCCTGCCTCACCCTCCCGAGTAGCTGGGATTACAGGCATGCACCACCACTCTGGGCAAATTTTGTATTTTTAATAGAGACAGGGTTTCTCCATGTTGGTCAGGCTGGTCTCGAACTCCTGACCTCAGGTGATCCACCCACCTCAGCCTCCCAAAGTGCTGGGATTAGAGCCATGAGCCACTGTGCCCGGCCTATTTATTATATTAACAGTTATTATCTCACAGATTCTCTGGGGCAAGAATTCAAGAGCTAGTTATCATAGGTGGTTCAGGCTTAGTATCGCTTATGAAATTGTAGTCAAGATGTTGGTTGGTGCTGTGGTCATCTGAAGGATTTCCTGGGGCTGGAGAATGTAGTATCAAGATGGCATACTCACATTGTTGATGCTGATGGGAGAATCCCTTGTCCCCCATGGAGATGGTTGACTACTCTTACAGCATGGTGATTGTCTTTCCCCAGAGTAAATGATCCAAGAGAACAAGTGAGAAAGATTCTGAAATGTCTTTTATGACCTAGTTTCCAAAATCACATTTCATTATTTCTGTCATATTTGTTAGAAGTGAGTTGCTAAGTCAAGCCAACTTTCAAGGGTAAGAAAATTAGACTCTACCCTTCTACGTGTCAAATGAGGAAAAACAAGGAATTTGTGGACATATTTGAAACCACAGCACTCTTAAAGATATAAGTGAAAAAAATGGTGAAGGATATTTTTTAAAACTTTGCATTTATTGTGTAACTCTTCTGAATCACTTTGCAAGAGAGTTGTTGATGTTCATGTTTTTCAACATAATATTGTCTTCTGTGCCACTAATAACACTGGCGATGAAGCATTTTTAAACGAATGATAGAGTGTTGACTTCCAGATCTTTCTTCAAGCTGCTGTCATCAAAGATGCATGTTTCAATGCTATTGTTTTCATAATCTTACCATATGAGTCAATGGAAAGGATTCAGTGAAATATGAATATTCATTTACCTTCCTAAGATGGTTCTCAAACGGCTTATTGATTGAAATGTTGAAAAGTTTCCTGGCCCAGATACGTCACCCAGTTTTTGCATATATGGATAATGACACTATATCATGATTTTCATCGGGCCAACAAATGTTTTTGAGACATATCCTATTTTCAGATTGTTAAAATATAAAAAGAACATGCTTGTTATTACTCAGTGATGTAGATAGCTATTCTTTTTGTTGGCTCAGTACTCCCCCTTTGTTGGCAAAAATACCTCTCCTCTCTCATTCTAACCATGTAGTTCTAGTGGAAGCTGCCAGTCATCATAGCCCAGACATTGGCTGCAGTGGTGGATTCCCTGAGCTGTGTCCAGGTCGATGGTCCCCCTGGCCACTGAGATTGGCTCAGGGATGGACACATGACTCAGTCCTATCTGTGTTCTTTGGATTTTATTTTTAAACTGGAACTAGCCAGGTAAAGTGCTTTTCTGGCATTGTTTAGGAAATATGAAAGAAATTTCAGTTTCCCTTGCAGACGTGTTCTGGCTTGGAGTGACAGGGGCAGAACCTGCAGAAAGCCATGATGCTAACAAGGACTTTTATAAATAAATTCACCTGCTTTGCTTACGGTAGTTCAAGTTGGGATCCTGTTCTGACCCATTAAAATTGGTAAACTATAATTTCATTATCTATGTGTTTTGCCTTTGTATACAATAAAACATAAAAATCACATCAGCCTTGAGGGCTGATGTGATTTTTATTTTATGACTTTGTCGCCAACCCTATTTTGTCCATTAGCTTTTGTTTTCTTTAACTGAAGATACTTTTACTACTATGGTTTTCAAAAACATCACTCTTGTAGTTGGGAAATACATAACCTTTTATTAATAATATAACTTTTAGTCTAGGCATGGTGGTTCACAGTTATAATCTCAGCATTTTGGGAGGCCAGATGGATCAGTTGAGCCCAGGAGTTCAAGACCAGCCTAGGTAACATGGCGAGATCCCATCTCTGCAAAAAAAATTTTAAAAATGAACTGAGCATGGTGTTCTGTTCCTGCAGTGTCAGCTACTCGGGAGGCTGAGGTGGGAGGATCACTTGAACCCAGGAGGTTGAGGCTGCAGTGAGCCATTACTGTACCACTGCACTCCAGCTTGGGCGATAGAGACTCTGTCTCAAAAAATATATGTATATATACATAAAACTGTTAGATTCACCAATAAGTGACTTTTTGTTGCATAATTAATACAAAGGGAAGATAACTAGGAACTTGTTAGCTATCCAAAATGTTTCTTCAGGAAAATAACAGACTTTAGAAATTGCCTAATGTTGTTCCTATGGTTTACCTTTGGCTTAGACAAAATTTATTTGACTAAGAAGTAGTATCAATTTGTAATGAAGAAAATGGAAGTCTTAGCAATACCGGAAGTGTGAAGTACTGAACAATTCAATTTATACGTGGGACATTTGTTACACCAGGCTTCATGCCACTGAATATGGCTGCTCAAGAGAATAGTCATGTTAGATGTAAATTTTAATAGTAATATTTATATACTGTTTTTACAAAGTTTACTTGAACATTAAAAACTAGGCGTTGCTGAAAAATTACTGTTTTTTAGGTCTTTTTTGATTTCTTTCATCAGCATTTTGGTAGCTTTTACCATATATTTTTAAAAGTACCGAGTTTTTAATGTGTAATTTTCAATGTTTAGATAAGCTCTGTGTAAACAGTATATAAATATTACTATTAAAATTTGTATCTAACATGACTCAGCATTTTGGTAATTTTTACCATATATTTTTAAAAAATGGTGTTTAAAATAGTATTTTAAATAATATATGGTAAAAATTACCAAAATGCTGATGAACGATGGTATTTTAAATACCATAAAATGATATTTAAAAAATATAGTACATATATTTTAATGTTTTTGCCTAAGTATTCTTTTTCTTTAAAGTGATCATAAATGACATTGTTTTTAAAATTTTTTTTCCACATGTTCATTATTGGTAGATAGAAATGTGATTGATTTTTGTATGGGGGTAAAGAGATCCTAATTTGAAAATTAACACTATTTGTTCCCATAGAAATAATGAACCACACAAAAGGCAATGTTCTTATTTAGGAAAAATCTTCAATGTTTTTGGTAACTTTTTTTAGGTTTTATATAATGTTCAGCTATAGCATACAAATCATTTAAAATATAACTTTATTTTAGCAGAAAATTTTTGAAAGAAATATTCATCGAGAGAAAATAATTTTATAAGGAATTGAATGATCCATGATACATAATTTTTGGAATATATTGATAATTCAATATGCAGAAAGAATCATTTAAGTTTAATTTTTTTTAAGACTAAATTAGTTTTGATTATCTGCGTAGTTTTCAAAAGTCAGCTTGATAGCCTTGCCTCTAAAAATCACTCAGTGTATCTCCTTCTAAATAGACATATATTAAACGTAATGATTTGGACATCTAATTAATGACATTTAAAATGAATTATACATATTATCTTTGCTCATTCAATCATCTATTTAAAAATATATAATAGGTAAATTTAGTAGTCAGCACACACATTCATATTTGAAGTCTTACAGTAGATTTATGTGTTATTTTTCTCAGTAACCTAAGGTTTGCTAGTAACTTTGTTATCCTCTGATAAAACCTGCCTTTATTAGTTAATGTTGACTTTGCTGCCTTTGCACAGTATTCACTACCACTCTTTATGGGTTGCAGAGTTACGACCACCATAAATAAAGACAGCATGAAGAGAAGGAAGAGATAGAATAGACAATTTATTTTCATGCATTTTTGGCTGCCATCTAAATCACGCTTGTCAGAGGAAAGTGGAGTTTAATGGTCATCCTTAACAAGTTTAGGAAAAAAATGTGCATTTTTACTCCTTCCATGTTGTGTTTTATGGTTATATCACATTTGGTTCAGAATAATGATGATTCAATAATGACATTTTATTATTCAAGCTTGATGAATAGGATTGGGAAGGGTTGTTTATTTTATCCTTCCAATTCCCTGTAACTAACAGTTTGACAAGAGTAAGAGACACTGACTGATGCTGTACAGAGACTGTTTAATGTTTTTTAATGAAGTGCTGGAGTTAAAATGGAAATATCTCTAGCCTAATTCAGACCCTGGCAGGTAAGGCTTGTTCCTTCTAGTGTGTTTATTGGAGCTCTGTCCAGCTTCATTTCACATGTGTGTTTTGGGGATTAGATATGCAAATACATATGTGTATATTAATATAATACATATATAAACATGTTTGCATATATTCAAAAACATTTTACAGTGCTTTAATTTTGTTTTACCAGCAAAATTCTTTTCCTCAAGTGAAATCATAGATAAGAAATCCTCTGGGAGTTTCCAGGACAGGAAACATACAAATGGAGCTCCTCTGGCTGCCAGGCCTCCTTACTGCTCTGCTGCACCCTCCGCTGATCTGTTCCAGTGCATGTAAATAGCGAGGATTCTTGCTAATCCCTCCTTTGCTATTCCTTAGATTATTTCTTCCCTACGTAGTAGGCAAGTCAGTAACGACCCTTTGATTACAAGGAAGTTTTAAAATGGCCCAATGACATATTTTAACCAGTTTGGATGGAATGAGCCCATAGCTCCTTTATTTTGTTTAGTTCATGAACTGATATCACTGTAAGCCAGACGACTGTTTGGAGGGAAAGATCATTTTTAAAGAAGTGAGAATTTTAATATATACATTGGAAATGGAATCAATCCAAAGTAAATATACAGAATTCCATTATGCCTCTAATTTTGCTATTTGTTAGCCACTTTCCTTATGTTGCCTGTATAGAGTGATAAAAGTGAGAGGTGGCCAAATTGAATTGTTCTGTTATTTAACATTAGGGAATTACACATTACTCTGCTAGTAACTTTTATGGGATATTTATGTATATGTGTATTTATTTATTTCAGAGACCAGGTCATGCTCTTGCTCAGGCTGGAGGGCAGTGGTGTGATCATGGTTCAGCATGGCTTTGAACTCCTAGGCTCAAGTGATCCTCACGCTGTAGCCTCCCAAGTAGCTAGGACCTACAACTGGTGTGCACCAATATGTGTGGCTAATTTTTAAATTTTAATTTTTGTAGCGATGGAGTCTTGCTTTGTGGCCCAGGTTGGTCTCCACCTCCTGTCTTCAAGTGATCCTCCTGCTTCAGCCTCCCATTGCTGGCGTTACAGGTGTGAGCCACTGTGGCAGGCCTGAAATCAGGAATAAAAAATGCAGCACAACTAGAATTTTTTTTCAATTATATGAGGTTTGAACAATTATTCTTGGCTTAAAACTTTTAAATGATTTTTTATATAGATAAAATTATGATCATTTCCCCTTTGACAATTGGAGTAAAATATTCTGCAATTGGAATGTCATGCTAATGAGGCATGTCTTTTGGCCAAAATAGGATATAATGAAACATGCTTTATGTAGGGACCAGCCCCACAGGGTCGGTGGGTCTCTCCCTGTGTGCGGCGACGAGAGAGTGTAGAAATAGAGACACAAGACAGAGATAAAAGAAAAGGCAGCTGGGCCCAGGGGACCACTACCACCAATGCACGGAGACCGGTAGTGGCCCCGAATGTCTGGCTGCACTGTTATTTATTGGATACAAGGCAAAAGGGGCAGGGTAAAGAGTGTGAGTCATCTCCAGTGATAGGTAAGGTCACGTGGGTCAGGTGTCCACTGGACAGGGGGCCCTTCCCTGCCTGGCAGCCGAGGCAGAGAGGGAGAGGAGACAGAGAGAAAGACAGCTTATGCTATTATTTCTGCATATCAGGGACTATTAGTACTTTCACTAATTTACTACTGCTATCTGGAAGGCAGAGCCAGGTGTACAGGATGGAACATGAAGGCGGACTAGGAGTGTGACCACTGAAGCACAGCATCACAGGGAGACGGTTAGGCCTCCAGATAACTGCGGGCAAACCTGACTGACGTCAGGCCCTCCACAAGAGGTAGAGGAGCAGAATCTTCTCTGAACTCCCCTGGGGAAAGGGAGACTCCCTTTCCTGGTCTGCTAAGTAGCGGGTGTTGTTCCTTGACACTTTTCGCTACTGCTAGACCACAGTCCGCCTGGCAACGGGCGTCTTCCCAGACGCTGGCGTCACCGCTAGACCAAGGAGCCCTCTGGTGGCCCTGTCCGGGCATAACAGAAGGCTCGCACTCTTGTCTTCTGGTCACACCTTACTATGTCCCCTCAGCTCCTATCTCTGTATGGCCTGGTTCCTTGGCTATGATTATAGAGCAAGGATTATTATAATATTGGAATAAAAAGTAATTGCTACAAACTAATGATTAATGATATGCATATATAATCATATCTAAGATCTATATCTGGTATAACTATTCTTGTTTTATATTTTATTATACTGGAACAGCTCATGTCCTCTGTCTCTTGCCTTGGCGCCTGGGTGGCTTTCCACCCACACTTTATGCTTCAACAGACTGTGGACAGTTGTCTCTCCATCATCCTTCTGAAGGGGCCACTCTTGGCATCCTGGAAGCGTGTTAATGCCGAATGTCCTTGATATGTCATTTTTTTGTTTGTTTGTTTTTGTTTTGTTTTGTTTTGTTTTTGAGACGGAGTTTTGCTCTTGTTGCCCAGGCTGGAGTGCAATGGTGCAACCTCCGCCTCCCAGGTTCAAGCAATTCTCCTGCCTCAGCCTTCCGAGTAGCTGGGATTACAGGCATGTGCCACCACGCCCGGCTAATTTTGTATTTTTAGTAGAGATGGGGTTTCTCCATATTGGTCAGGCTGGTTGTGAACTCCCGACCTCAGGTGATCTGCCTGCCTCAGCCTCCCAAAGTGCTGGGATTACAGGCGTGAGCCACTGCGCCTTGCCTGATATGTGATTTTTAATCATTTGAACAAGACTGTTATTCTGGGATCAAAAGATTTTATTATGTTTTTAAGTGTTATTATAAAGAAGATGTAGTTATCACTGCTGCAATCCTAGTGGGATTTGTACACATTGGTGTATAGCTTGGTATAAAATTTGAGTTTATAATGGAAATAAATATTTAAAAAGTTAACACTTAAAAAAGAAGTTAAGTGGTATGAGAGTTTTTATAATGAAACCTTTTAGACATTTAGAGAATAGCACCACATCCCCATTGAAAATTTAAGTGAAAGAGAGAGAGAGAATGTGTGTGTGTGTGTGTGTGTGTGTGTGTGTGTGCACATGCCTACCAGTTTTTTACTATGGAGTCTCTGTTTTCTTAAGTTATAAATAGAAACAACAAAAATATCTTATTAGATTACTGTGAGGATAAAATAATATCTAAACTGGAAGGTTGTAATTACTTGATAAATGGTAGCCATTATTAGAATTGTTATTATTAAGAACAATGTACAGTTTCTATCTTTTCAGCATCTTAAGGAATTTCATAAATGTCATATACCTATGGTCCCATGAACTTATCCTCCTTCTTATGTTTAAGGACTATAATTAGATTATTTCCTTAACTTGATTCAGTATTACGTTTGTTCTTTCTTAAGAGCAAAACCGAAAGAAAAACACAAATTTAAAAACAATTTTATCAAAATTGCAAATGCAGTTAAGAACTTCGACAAAACAATAAAAAAGAAGCACCCAGGGGAAATAATAATAATGTCTATAATTATATTATCCAGAAATATCCTCTGCTAACACCTTGGACCATTTCTTTCTAGTTTTGTGTGCATAGGCATGTGATCTTATTTACTAAAATGGATTCATATTGTAGATATAGTAGCATTTCAGATGTTTAATGATGATGATGGTGTTGATGGTGGCAGTGACAATGATAGTTAACAATTTATCATGTTTACTATGTGTCAGTCACTGTGCTGAGACCTTTTCATAGATTGACTCATTTAACTCTTACCCTGAGAAGCAGGTGCTCTTATTATCTTCATGTAACAGATGAGGAAGTTGAGATTAATGATTTGCTCAAGATCACATAGCAAGTCACATGTGCTCAAGGTAACACAGCCAGTGGCAGAGTGGGCTTAACCCCTAATTTATACGTATCTGCTCAATTAAACTTTCTATTAAGTCATTAGTGATTCATCTCCTTTTATCATATGAAAAGTTAATGATTACAACATATAATATAGTAATTTGTTTTGGAAAATGCCCTCTTTCAAACACTGTTAGTGTTTCACAAAACTTTAAAAAAAAAAAAACTTACTAGGGGCCGGGCGCAGTGGCTCACACCTGTAATCCCAACACTTTGGGAGGCTGAGGTGGGTGGATCACCTGAGGTTGGGAGTTTTCACCAGCCTGGCCAGCGTGGTGAAACCCTGTCTCTACTTAAAAAAAAAAAATTAGCCAGGTGTGGTGGCGCGCGACTGTAATCCCAGCTACTCAGTTGCAGTGAGCTGAGATTGTGCCATTGCACTCCAGCCTGGGCAAAAAGAGTGAAACTCCATCTCAAAAACAAACAAACAAAACACACACACACACACACACACACACATCTTACTAGGGAAAACAGACTGTAAACTTTTATCTAGTTATATTGTTGTTTGTAATGTGACAAAACATTTTTTCAGGCTTTGATTTGGATCTTAGTGCTTAAATTTGCAGCAGTGGTTTGCGCTTGGGATTCAACACATTCAGCATCCCTAAGAGCTTAAACGTATGCTCTGCATCCCAAAACAGTTCCAGGAAAACAAATGTCTTAAGGGTCTCTTATGTTTTAGATTATCTCAGGGACTCAGTTAACCATTTACACTTTATTAAAGATAATTTACTGAGTCTTAACTAAAGTTTAAGATGAACTACAGTTTAAGATTAATAATATTTGATGTTCGTGCAGTCAGTTATATGTCACATTTTTATTAGGATGCAATGACCAACGGTAAAATATTTAGTTAATATTTAAAACATCGGTTAATATTTATTCAGTTAGTTAATATCCACTAATAAATGTTAAAATATCAGTTAATATTTAGAGAATATTTACAGCTTGCCCAAGGTGTAAACTTTCATAAATATATTTTACCCAAAGTACTGTGCATTTTATGTACTGCTTGACTACAACATCGTTTGCTTTGGTATGTCTTGATATTATTCTATGAATACCTTTTAAAAAACATAGCATTTGAATCATTTTTTTATGTTTATTCTTGACATCATGTAAAGCACACAGGCTTATGGAAGGGCAGGGTAGAATGAGGTAGGGTTTTTCAGTTTGTTTTTAAATATGTTTTTTGTAGTTATGTTTAATGATGGTATAGTGTGTTAGACTTACCTTTTTTTTTAGTAAAAATTAGTTACAGATTTCATTGTCAGAGTTCACAATCTTTTTCCTTAGAAGGGAGTGCTCAGTGAATGGTTAAATCTGTGTGAATACATAAAAGCAGTGAGCACGTTTTTGTTTTTAAATGGAGAGAATAGTTTAATGAGCCTCCATCTTCAACATTTGCTAACTCATGGCCAATTTTGCTTGATATTACCCTTTTCTACTGGAGTATTTGCAAGCAAATGTGAGATACGTCATTTTAATCCATAAATAAGGAAATAATTGAAAAAATATTCCTAGTGTTTGTTTTATGTGGTTGCACTTAATATTACCATAATATTCTTAAGCTTATTGTATTGAAAAATGCTGGAGGGCCTCATTTGGTATGCATGAATCAAGCCAGCTGCCCAAGAAAGATGTGAAAACAGATGGAATTTTTATGTGTTTTAGATGTTGTGATCACGTGTGCCACCAATCCTTCATTCTGCTTTTCAGGATGGAAACATTAAGTCATCCTTGATGCTTCCTTTTTTTCCTTCTCGCCTTTTAAATATATCTTCAAACTTTATCGATTTTTATTCCTTAAATGTCTCTTTAATTGACTTTTAACTGTGTATCTCCATTGCTGCCACTTACTTACTGACTATGATAAGTGTCTTCAGGCCAGTCTTGGTGGCTCATGCCTGTTATCCCAGCACTTTGGGAGGCTGAGGCAGGTGGATCACCTGGGGTCAGGAGTTCAAGACCAGCCTGACCAATATGGTGAAACCCCGTCTCTACTAAAATTACAAAAATTAGTCGGGTGTGGTGGTGTGGTGGTGCATGCCTGTAATCCCAGCTACTCAGGAGGCTGAGGCATGAGAATTGCTTGAATCCGGGAGGCGGAGGTTGCAGTGAGCCAAGATTGCGCCATTGCACTCCAGCCTGGGTGACAGAGCAAGACTCTATCTCAAAAAAAAAAAAAAAAAAAAAAAAAAAAGAAATTATAAGTGTCTTCAGTGATTTTTTTCTGATTACATTTTCCCTCCTGTTGTGGTTAGGAAGGGCAATTTCTCGGAATCTCAGATCTCTCATTCTGAGAGATTGCCCTTCCTCTCACCATATCTTTGTAGTAAAGACAGTGTTTAATTCATCCCACTTACATTTCTGTTCTTATATTCAGTTTATTCCTCAAGATGACCCTTTCATAACCACATCTTTTTCTGTTTACCAACATTAACCTTTAGGCTGCTGTCCTGAATGCCCTTTCTGTGTTTTGGGTCATACTCATTCTTGCCTCTGCTCTGCCTGCCCTCTCCTCAGTTTATAAATCTGTCCTCTTTTTGATCTATAGTCTACCTTTCCATCAAAGTCCAGCATATTTTCTTCCTTTCCTGTCAAATCCATCTTGATGACTCCAAGCTACGCGTATCTTTCCCTTTTCAGAATTTCCACAAGTGTGAATAGTTGATGCTGTGAAATGGGATCTTTGGTTTTGCTTTTGTCTTGTATTATCTTCCAGTTGTTGATGGATTTTTGTGTCTAATTTGGATAAATACCTTCTTGGGTGCAGGGACTTTTCAAAACAAAGTTGGCCATCTTTTCTTTGTTGCATTTTCTTTTGATCATTAACGCCAGTTGATAACCTTTCATTTCTTATACAGGTGAACAAAGAAGGAGAGGAGTTAATATCCTTACATAGTTCTCATCCTCATCCTTACATAGTTCTCATCCTCATCTTCATCCTCATCCTCATCACCATACCTCTCCTATCAATGAAGGGGCTGGTGTTATGAGTGTTGTGAGTGGTGAGTGCTCCTCCTCAACCTTTACACCCAAGTCTTCTTATTCAAGCAGAAGGAAAAAAGGAGGCTCTGAGATTGATTAAACCCCTTTGAAAAGACTTTTTGTAATAATAGGCTCATTAAATGAGCAAATAAGCTTTAGATTTTCTGGCACAGGAAAAAAAGGGGAAGGAGGGGAAATGAAAAGTAAGGATAGTGCTAGGCGTGGTGGCTCACACCTGTAATCCCAGCACGTTGAGAGGCTGAGGTGGGCGGATCATGAGGTCAGGAGATCAAGACCATCCTGGCTAATAGGGTGAAACCCTGTCTCTACTAAAACTACAAAAAATTAACCAGGCATGGTGGCAGGCGCCTGTAATCCCAGCTACTTGGGAGACTGAGGGAGGGGAATTGCTTGAACTCGGGAGGTGGAGGTTGCAGTGAGCCGAGATCACGCCACTGCGCCACTGCACTCCAGCCTGGGTGACAGAAACAGACGTCTCAAAAAAAAAAAAAAAAAAAAAAAAAAAAAAGTAAGGATAGCAGTATATAAAGCTAGGTAAGAGATGGATAAATGTAAAATGTGTATAGGAAAAGAACAAAAAAAAAAGAAAAAAGGTACAGGTGAGTGGTAAGAGCAGTTTTAAGTAGGGAGGGAGGAAGCCTGAGAGAAGAGTTATGGATTTTAAAAAAAGGAAAGGAAAAGATATGCTGCAAATTTAATAATTAAAAAAAAAAGGAGAGCCCAGAAGTTGGAGTGGAAAAGAAATGTACCCTTTGTTTTTGCTGTTAGGAATGGGACTAATATTTTAGATATTTAGATATTCTAATTCTCCTATTGTTTAAAAGAGCGAAACATTATAAAGAATAAAGCTAATAAAAAGTTCTAAGAGGTCATTATCAGAAGTAACTCTTGGAAATTAAGAAGAGACTATATTTTTTAAAAATCTTAAGCTGTTGGTAGTTGTGGTGATTTTGATAATTTTGCATTGCCTGCTGGTCATGCGATCCCATTGGTAATTCAGCTCACCTGGATCTCAAAACGCTCTCAACCCAGATCATGAACAAAAATAAACTTTTAGATGTGTGTGTAACCATTTTATTTTCTGGACCTGTGTCCACAAGCCACATGTGGCCATTTAAATTAATTAAAATTAAATAAATGTTGAAATGCAGTTAGTCATCTTAAGTCCTCTTAAGTGCTCAGTGGCCACATGTGGTTAGAGGTGCCTGTATTAGCACGGATGTTGAACATCTCCATTACCATGGGGCATTCTATTGGACAAGTCAACACTGTAACACTTAGAAGAATTTATAGATTTTAAATATGTTAAATGAACAAACGTTTCGCTTTCATGATTAGAATAAAATGTTTGTATTTTAAGTACACAAGTTGCTTTTAAAATAGGAAAAGAGCAGAATTGTTTTTAAAGTGGTGCCTAGTTGCAAGTTTATCGACAGAATCTGTGAAATTGCTCGACTTTTTTTTTTTTCCCTAGGTTTCTTTTGTAGATTCCTCAGAATCATCAAGTAGAGTCTGAATATGCATATCTGTCCCCAGGCTTCCTCTGTTTTGATTTGTAACAGAATTTCAGGCACAGGAAAGATAAAAATCTGCTTTTTATTTGTAATGAATTTGAAAGGTCTTTGTGCAACTCTCATGATTGGTGAAATGTTTTCTGTAATTATGTATTCCGAGAGTTCACATATTCTGGAATAGTGTTCCCCTGTTTTGCCTAATAAGATTCACACATGGCATGTGATTCCAAGGCTCTGACTCAGAACAACGCATCATCTCCAGCGGGGGAGGGTCCTGAGAGTTGTGGTTTTAAAACTAGTGCCCCAGGTGATTCTCACCAGGCAAGTTTGCAGAACACCACTCTGACCGTTGACGTACTAAAGATGCACTTTGGCAGGCTCATGATTGCTGAAAGATATTACATTTGCGTTACCTGAGTAGGACTCTGCACTTATGTGACAGTAGAATGTGTTTACATATTTTGAGTAGTCAGAATTCTGACATTATTTTATAGTAGATGCAGGACCGTATCATTGAACTAGTAATGAAACAGTATTTTCTTACCTGTACATTTTCAAGCATTAAGTCATAGAAAATGTTCTTGATGAAATTATTCAATTTATATGTGTGTGTGTGTGTGTGTGTGTGTGTGTGTGTACACATATATGCATAACTGCAGAACAAGTATATGTAAGCTCTTTCAAGTAAGGAGAGCCATAATTTAGGATCCTCCAAGACTGAAGCTGGAGGGCAGTTACCTACAGTGTAGTACTTAGGTATTATAAAAATTCAACTCATATGCATTGTGTCATAGCTTCCTTGGTAGAGCTTTTCTTTTTTGGTGTTATATATATAACAATGATGTGTCATTCGGATTATGTGTCTTAGGTCTAATTGAACTATATTATATATTTGAGCTTAGTAACTTGGGTTGACTATATAAAGGATCTATAATATATAAGGGAATGAAGCACACTGGATATGACATGAGACGTCATGGCCTTGACTCCCAGTTCTGCCATGTCTGAACGTGTGCTACCTACCGCAGTGTCAGTCATTTGTTTGAATGTTAAACTTTAGCTGCCAAACATGGTGCTAAGTCTAATGTAGTGATTCTTAACTAGACATGGGCATTATCCTTACCTAGGGAAGTCTCTGAACTAAAAATATGCACACTCTACTCCTGGAAATTCTGACATCTATATAGTCTTTGTTACTTTTTGTTTTGTTTCTGAAATTGAGATAAAATTTCCATACCATGAGTTGGCATAGTAAGTATGTAATTTGATGAGTATTTATAAATTGTATACATGCATCAACTACCACTTCAGTTAAGATAGAGGATATTTGCATCAACCCAGAAATTCCCTTCAAGTCTCATTTCTATCAATTCCCACCCCGTTCATAGGCAACCACAGTTTTGGTTTCCATCGTAATCGAGGAGTTTTGCAGTTCTTGGACTTCATATACATGGAGTCATAAAGAATGCACATTTTGCATCACGCTCCTTTTGCATAATAAGATTTTGCGGTTCATCCATGTTATTGCATGTATCAGTAGTTTACTTGCTTTCTTCTACTTCTTCCATCCTAATTGCCATGTATTAGGCTGTTCTTGCTTGGCTATAAGGAAATACCTGAGACTGACTAAAAGAAAAGAGGTTTAATTGGCTCATGGTTCTGCAGACTGTACAGGAAGCATAGTGCTGGCATCTGATTCTGGGGAGGCCTCAGGAAGCTTATAATCATGGCAGAAATCGAAGAGGGAGCAAGTGTCTCACACGGCAAGAGCAGGAGCAAGAGAGAGATTTGGGGGGAGGTGCCACATTTCACAACAACCAGATCTTCAGCGAACGGACTCACTCTCTCAAGGACAGCACCAAGCCATGAGGGATGCACCCCCATAACCCAAACACTTCCCACCAGGTCCCATCTCCAGCATTGGGGATTACATTTCAACATGAGATTTGAGTGGGGACAAATATCCAAACTATATCATTCTACCCCTGGACTCCCAAATTTTATGTCTTCCTTGCATTGGAAAATACAATTCATATCTTTCTAACAGTCTTCCAAAGTCTCACTTATTCCTGCAGTAATTCAAAAGTCCAAAATCTCATGTGAGACAAAGCAAGATCCTTCCACCTATGAGCCTGTAACATCAAAAACAAGTTATTTACTCCTAAGATACAATGGGAGTATAGGAATTGGGTTAATATTCCTGTTCTGAAAGGGAGAGATCAGCCAAAAGAAAGGGACTACAGACCCCATGGAAGCTCAGAAACCAGCAGGGCAGTCATTAAATCTTAAAACGCCAAAATAGTCCTTGATTTCAGGTTCTGCATCTGGGGAATACTAGTGTAAGAAGTGGGATCCCAAGGCCCTGGGCAGCTCCACCCCTGTGGCTTTGCAGGGTGGAACCCCTATAGCTGCTTATAGGCTGCTGAGTGCCTGCAGCTTTTCCAGGTGCAGGATGCAACCTCTGGTGGATCTACCATTCTGGGATCTGGAGGATGGTGGCCCCCTTCCCATAGCTCCACTAGGCAGTGCTCTAGTGGCGACAATGTGTGGAGACCCCAACCCCACATTTCACCTCCACCCTGCCCTAGTAGAGGTTCTCTGTGAGGGCTCCAGCCCTGCAGCAGGCTTCTGCCTGGGCAGCCAGGCTTTGAAATGTAGGTAGAGGCTGCCAAGCATTCTTCAGTCTTACACTCTGCATGCCTGTAGGCTTAACACCATGTGGAAGCTGTGAAGGCTTATGGCTTACACCATTTGAAGCAGCAGTCTGAGCTATATTTGGGGCCCTTTGAGCCAAGGCTGGAGCTAGAGCATCCAGGATGCAGGGAGCAGTGTCCTGAGGCTGTGCAGGACATCTGGGCCTGGGCCTGGCCCAAGAAACCATTCTTCCCTCCTAGGCCTCTGGGCTGTGACAGGAGGGGCTGCTGTGAAGTCTCTAAAATTCCTTGCAGGCCTTTTCCCTGTTGTTTTGGATATTTTAATAGCACTTGGCTCCCTTTTAGTTGTGCAAATCTCTCTACCAAGTGTTTGCTCCACAGCCTGCTTGAATTTCTCTCCGAAGAGAGGCTTTTTCATTCTCTGCCACATGACTGGGCTGTACATTTTTCAAACTTTTATGTTCTGCTTTCGTTTAGATATAAATTTCAACTTTAAGACATTTGTTTGCTTTACATCTGAGCATAGGTTGTTTGAAGCAGTCAGGGCACATCTTGGTTGCTTTGCTGCTTAGAAATTTTATGCACCAGATACTCTAAATTATCACTCTGAAGTTCAAACTTCCACAGATTCCTATGGCAGGGCACACTGCAGCCAAGTTCTCTGCTAAGGCATAATATGGGTGACCTTTGCTCCAGTTCCCAATAAGTTCCTGATTTCTATCCGAGACCTCACCAGCCTAGACTTCACTATCCATATCCCTAACAGCATTTTGGTCAGACGATTTAACCAGTCTTCAAGAAGTTGCAAACCTTCCCTCATCTTCCTGTCTTCTAGCCCTCCAAAACTCTTCCAATGTCTGCCTGTTACTCAGTTGCAAAGCCACCTCCTCATTTTCAGGTATCTTTATAGCAGTGCGCCACTCCTTGGTACCAATTTTCTGTATTAGGCCATTCTTGCATTGCTATAACGAAATACCTGGCCGGGAGGTCAAGGCGGGAGGATCATCTGAGGTCAGGAGTTTGAGACCAGCCTGGCCAACATGGCAAAACCCTGTCTCTACTAAAAAAAAAAAATATATATATATATATATATATATATATATATATATATATATATATATATATATATAAATAAATTAGCTGGGTGTGGTGGCACACACCTGTAATCCCAGCTACTTGGGAGGCTCAGGCAGGAGAATCACTTGAACCCTGGAGGCGGAGGTTGCAGGGAGCCGAAATCACTCCACTGCACTCCAGCCTGGGTGACAGAGTGAGAGTCTGTCTCAAAAAAAACAAACAAACAAACAAAAAACCTGAGACTGGGTAATTCATAAGAGTTTTAATTGGCTCACACTTCTGTAGGCTGTACAGGAAGCATAATCCTAGCATCTACTTCTGAGACCTCAGGAAGCTTAAAATTATGGTGGAAGGCAAAAGGGGAGCAGGCATCTCACATGATAGGAGTACGAGCAAGAAAGAGAGTGGGAGGGAAGCTGCTACTCTTTACAACAACCAGATCTTGAGACAACTCACTCACTGTCTCCAGGACAGCAGCAAGCCATGAGGGATCTGTCCCGATGGCCCAAACACCTCCCACCAGGCCTCACCTTCAACATTGGGGATTACAATTTGACATGAGATTTGGGTGGGGACAAATTGTTAAACTGTCCCTTTCCATATAGTAGCCATTAACTGAATAAACTACACTTTTTATCTATTTTTCTGTTAATGGGGTGTATTTGGTGTTTTCAGTTTTTGCCTTTATCAGTAAAGCTGCTGTAAAATCCTTGTACAAATCTTATTGGGAGAAAAAAAGGTAACTATGTGAGATGATACGTTAATTAGCTTGATTGTGGTAATCATTTCACAATGTATATTTATATCAAAACATCATGCTGTACACCCGTGATGGTTAATACTGAGTGTCAACTTGATTGGATTGAAAGAAGCAAAGTATTGATCCTGGATGTGTCTGTGAGACTGTTGCCAAAGGAGATTAACATTTGCGTCAGTGGGCTGGGAAAGGTAGACCCACCCTTAATCTGGGTGGGCACCATCTAATCAGCTGCCATTGTGGCTAGAACATAAAGCAGGCAGAAAAATGTGAAAAGACTAGACTGGTCTAGACTTCCAGACTACATCTTTCTCCCATGCTGCATGCCCTTGAACATTGGACTCCAAGTTCTTCAGTTTTGGCACTCGGACTGGCTTCCTTGCTCCTCAGCTTGCCGACTGCCTATTGTGGGACCTTTTGATCATGTGAGTTAATAAAATCCCATATATATATATATATATATATGTAATTTATATATATAGATATAATCCATATATATTATATAATATGCATATAATATATAATATGTATAATATATGCATGTTAATATAATATATAATATATATTTATCCTACTATTTCTGTCCCTCTAGAGAATCCTGATTAATACAACACCTTAAACATATATAATTTTTGTATGTTGATCACATTTCAATAAAGCTGGAAAAATCTTTTTTTGTCAATGTATGTTTTTCTTTATTTGGGGTAAATACCATAGAGTAATTGTATATTTAACATTACGACCTGCCAGCAGGTGTTCCAAGTGGTTGAACTGTTTTACAATTCTACCAGCAATGAGTGAAGTTTCAGCAGCTTCACACCCTCTCAATATCTGATTTTCGTTGTCTTAATTTTTAGACATTCTAGTGGATGTGAAATAGCATCATTATGGTTTTGATTCAATTTTCATTTCCTTTTCATGTGCTTGTTTAGCTATTTGTGTATTTTCTTTTGTGAAGTGTCATCAGTTCAAACCATTTGCTTAATTTTTATTATGTTGGTGGTGGTTTTATTGATGATTTGTAGCCATTGCTTATATATTTAAGTTACAAGCATTTTGCTACATATGTATTACAAATGTGGTCTCCCAATCTGTGACGGTTTTCATTTAAATGTGGAGGAGAGTAGCGGAGGAAGCTGGTGGATCCTCTCAGTCCCAGGAGTACCAGTACATTCAGTAGCTGTCTTAATTCCCGCTGGACTTAATTGTTTCCTTCAGACAATAGCCCTAAAATGTTAAGAGTGGGCAAATTCTTGGCTTCTCTTGTTAGACCTAGGCCAAGAACTGGGATGCTACAGTCAGATTATTTTTTTCTTCAGTTGTTTCAGTTTTATTTGTTCTGTTCAGCACTGTATCTTTTAAATGATTCCTTTTCATGTTCCTAATTAGGTTAACATAGCATTGTCTTTTTCCTTCCCCAAATAATCAGTTCATTTAACTCTTCAACCCCATCTTTTGCTTTTGACTTAAGGAAATTTCTAGCTCTTAGGGTTTTTTTGTTATTTCTAGTTTATAATTAATTCATAGTTTTATTGCATTATGACCACAGAATATTCTCTGGCTTATTTTTTGCTATTTGGACCTTTTGTCTAGTTTTCTTTGTGGCCTGGGTATATTTCAATAGACAATGAAAAAGATCTATTTTTGTAAATTTTCAATAGACAGTGGAAAAGATCTGTTTTTATATCACATCATTTGATATACTTCACTTAATTATAGCTCACTAGTTATTTTTTATTTGTCGTTTATCTTCCTGAATTGAGAAAGGAAAATAAGCTTCTTCCACTAGTGATGTATGACCCGTGGTTTCTTTTAGTTTTTAATTAAAAGGCAAGCCTTTGCCCATTTTCAATATTTTAGAGTTCTGTTAGTTTAGGGATAATATTTATAGCATATAAGTTGGTCAGTTTATTAGAAATGCAGAAGGGACACAAGCCCAGAAAAGTGGAATCAGAAAAGATTTGAAGGAAAAGCTGCTGCTTGAGCAAAGTCTTGTTGAAAGGAAGAAGGACCATGGTAATATATGAGGGTGAGGGAGGGAGGGGACACCGTGGGAAAAGTAGGAGGACCTTGAGGCAGAGGTGGCTGCTACAAGGCTTTGGAGTGACAGCCAGCCAGTCATAGCATTTCCAAGTAATTTTTTTATATATTGAAGTTTTTCTTCTGTAGTTTTTTTTTTTTAGCTATATAAATGAAATTTTGTGGGCTTTAAAATGTTTAAAAATAAGCATTTTTTTCCTTTAAACTTTTCGGGGGTTTGTTTTGTTTAAAATTAAACAGCAGTTTGGTTACACTTTCATTTCCTGAGTACTTTACAGGGATCTTTTAATTGTTTAAGTATATTGAATGTTTCTATGGAGAAGTCTGAGGTTGGCTTGATTTTTTTTTCCACTAAAAATACTTTTGGGCTTTTTTCTTTAAGTACCAGCAAGTTTAGTTATACCCAATTCAGTGTTATCATTCTGTATTGGTGTGTCCTGACATGTGTGTGCCCTCTCAGTGTATAAGTTTAAGTCTTCTGCTAGTTCTGGAAAATTTGTCTTTAATTTGTTCCGTGTTCTTCTTGGGAAAGCAGTTAGACACATGTAATTTTTATTAATCTTCTTTCTAATTCGTTGTTAATTTCCATTTCCTTTTGCTCATTTATTCATTGTGTCTTTCATGCCCCTTAATGGATTTTTCAGTGATGCTTTTTTCACTTTGAGCAGCTTCTTGTGTAGATTTAATTTTTTTTAATGAGCTCTGCAAGTTCCTAAGTCATCTCATTCTGTGGTTTTGCCATATCTTTCAAGAGCTCTTTTATATCTTCTTTTTCAAGAGTGATTTTACATCCTGGCTAACACGGTGAAACCCCGTCTCTACTAAAAATACAAAAAAAATTAGCCGGGCGTGATGGCGGGCGCCTGTAGTCCCAGCTACTCGGGAGGCTGAGGCAGGAGAATGGCGTGAACCCGGGAGGCGGAGCTTGCAGTGAGCCGAGATTGCACCACTGCACTCCCGCCTGGGCCACAGAGCGAGACTCTGTCTCAAAAAAAAAAAAAAAAAAAAAAAAAAGAGTGATTTTACTTTTTCATTAAGTTCTTCAAGTTTTAGTGATCTTTTAGTCATGATTATTATTTACTTGGTGGAAACATTTTTTTCTGGTGACATTTTCTTAGCTGTTTTTCTTGTTTTTCCTATCACTTAACCCTCCATCCCATCCCCCCCTTTCTTCCCTACCTCTATTTTTTTCCCCTCCTTCCCTCTCTCTCCTTTAATATCTTTGTCTATTCTAGGTCCTATGCCAGTTCCTCTCTCTGAATCTTTGAATGAATTGAATTCCCCCTGGACCTCTGATCTGAAACAGGTTTATGTTGGGGCTGGAAGAGAAGAGAGAGCAGCATTTCTTCCTTTATGGCACAGGAGTGTATATTAGAGAGTATTTAACCTTGACTGCTTACTGCCAGTGCCCTGGAAGCCACAGTCTGTTCACAGATCACTGTTTTCCACCCACCTCAATAACAGTGTTTCCCACATGGAGTTTGAGTGAGTCTGTGGCAGAGCCCTCCTCTGCCATCTTCCCTCACCCTTGCTTGGGTTTCACTATTCTTTCATATACATTGTGAGTGGTATGATAGATTTTTGCCTAGCTTTATTTAAGATGGGAATTCCATTTCTTTTTAGAAATTCTTCTGTTGTTTTGGGTTGTAGTAAGGGCAGGTTTCTTCTCAACACTGTCTTAAAACAAGGTTTTTCTTTCCTTTACATCTTTCAGTAAATGTGTTCCAGCTAACAAAGCCTTCTTCAGAGTAACGTTTAAGATTTGGTTTCTTGACTTCTTCCTTCCTTCCTTTCATTGTCTGGTGATATTTCTTCCCATTGTTGTTTTCCTCGAGGACTAGATTTCACTGTCTATGGTTTGAATTCCCAGATGAGGTAACTATGAACAAGTAGGGCATGAGTGTGCTGTGAGGATTATTTGCTTGGAGGGCATAACTTGGTATTGCATTTATTAAAAATATTGTGGAGATCAATATTTCCATCTCAGTTTATTTCTCTGGGCTATGTTGTACTTCTTTGTGCATTTATGAGGTTGTATATTTTATGAATTATTAAGGCAAGCTTGGATGCATCTTTTAAAAATAATAGGCCTAGGTTTTACTTGCCTGCCATTTTTCTGGAATCACTGATTTCCTTTTATTATTGAATTCTACTTAGTGTTACCAACTTAGCATTGCTTTTTACATTTCAAAGATCAAAGATATAATTTTTAAAAGTGCATAGTTCTGTACTTCAATGGGGGAGGAGATAACTATTTTAGTTTCTATCATCAAATACCAAAAGTTATTTTCAAAGGCACTACAGGCAAAAAAAGAGTTGGGATGGGAAAGAAAAAACAAAACAAAAGTCACTACCTGCAATTCAGTAAAAATGACCAACAGCATGTGCTGCCATGCAGTGCTTACAGTTGTTTCAAATTTACAAACAGAACAATAAAACCCATTTAGCATAATGAAATATTTATTTTTATCCAATATATTTGCAAGATGTTCTCCATTCATCATATTTGCAAGCAGCAGCAGCAACATTTCTTTAACATGAGCCAAATGTAATTTCCAGCTGTTGAAATTGTTTTTTAAGTCTTGTTAAAAACAGTTATCTAACAACAAACCTCAATACATCCCCTTTTCCACTTTTTTCTTGATTTTATTTATGAGTGTTTTTCAGTGATGCTTGATGTTTGAGATAGGAATAGAGTATATAAATAAAAGGCATTCTTATCTTTATATAACTTACTCTTTCATTCACCAGATGAGTTAATCAAAATTTTAATTTTGCATTCTTTTTGTTTCACAATTTAAAAAGCATAGAGTAAAAAGACAAAAAGCCTATGGCCTCTAAAACAGAGAAAAGCTAGCTATAACATAATGCATTTTTGAACTGCTAAAACGTGAAGATTCTATTATTCTCCATAGATTTGAGTCAAGACCTGTGCAAAAGCCCTGGAGGTTAAAATAATTCCTCAGCTTCATCTTTTGTGGTGTAAGTTTACATGCACAATGGGTGTTATTCTAAAGCTGCTTATCCTTTAGATTCGGTGATTCTTATCATATACGACAGTATTATGTAGATAAATGGTCAAAAATTACTTTCTGCTTATTTGATGTTTTTTGTTCAGTTGTCTAAAGTTGCTTTTTTAAGGGAAGAAATAATACAGAAACAATGATTATTGTTATTATTCGCCCAAGGTTACAAGAGCAAACTAATCAAGCCTAGTTTTGACTAATCTAGCTAGTTTTTGCTCTCTTTTGCCTCTGGGCCTCTGCCCGGAATAATTTCATTCCCTTCATCTTTTCTCACTTAGTTAACTCAAGCTTTTTAAGTAATAATAAAACTTCTTACCATTTTGATTACTTACGGTCTCAGTTTCTGTGGTTTGCTTTCTTTCGTGCTTATAGCTGAATTGGCTTTGTCCTTTCTGCATGCCCCTATAGAGCTTTGTACTTACCCACCTTAGGAATCATCTCACTGTATGATTCTACTTGTCTCTCCTATCTTCTTGACCAGAAATATATTTTACATTTATAAAATATTAGGTGAACCACATACGTAAAATTAAATCTTGCTGTAGCCATGTTAAAAAAGTAAAAGGATAAATTCATACTGTCTTATTTTCTAACCTACCATATTCAGAATATTATCATTTTAGCAAATAACTAATATAAAATTATTAATGATATATTTTATATTCTTTTTGTACTAAGTCTTCAAAATCTATTGTTTTACACTTACCGCACATCTAAGTTGGTATGATCTGCATTTCAGATGCTCAATACTACACATGGCTGGTGGCTACCATATTGTTATACAATAGTTCTAGTCTGTGGTCTGCTTGAGGGTTGAAACCATGTCTGGTTTTTACTGTACTTATGGCTACAGTCAGTGCCCATTAAATAAGTGCCTATGAATGAATGAATGAGTAAGTAAAATATGCTGGGAGGGATATTATATTGAGTGATGCCAATAGCTAATAATATTAGTACCATTCGTCAAGAGACCTAAAGGTACATTGGCTAAAAATAGGACTGTGATCTCAGAGAATTCTGCACATTTCAGTCATAAGTTAGGACAGTGGGGACAGGTTTTGAATAGATTAATTGCCAAGGATTGATTACTGGGGACAGATAGGAGAAGAAATTAAGAGGATGGCCAGTCTCTATCCAGAGTCTATTTTCCAGCTGATATCCTTTGATCCAGAGCATTTGACAGTCAGCCATCACTTCTACTGGTAGACTAATCGCCTTCTACCACAGTAGTCCTATTCAAATTCAAAATCAAGTCCTGTGCATACCCTTTTAATACAAATAGAGGCCAATGTGTCTAATTTGGCTTGCTGCTCAAAATATAAAACTTAACTTGGTATAACCTGGTACAGTCATTATGGATAGCAATTCGGTATTATGTAGAAATATGAATAGTGTGCATATCCTATGACCCAGTGATTATTTTGGTACAGCCATGCATTGCTTAACAATGTGTATGTGTTATGAGAAATGGATCATTAGGTGATTTCGTCTTTGTGCAGATGTCATAGAGTGTACTTACACAAATCTAGATGGTATATCCTACTACATAACATATTATGATATATCCGTCCTGTTGCTTCTAGGCTACAAACTTATACGGCATGTTACTGTACTGAATACTGTAGGTGATTGTAACACAATGGTAAGTATTTGTTTATCTAAACATGTCTAAATAGAGAAAAAGTACACTAAAAATACAGAAGAAAAGATAAAAATGGCACACCTGTCTAGGGCACTGACTGTGAATGGAGCTTACAGTACTTTCCTGGAAGTTGCTCTGGGTAAGTCAGTGAATGACTGCTGAATGAATGTGAAGGCCTAGGACATGACTGTACATGACATTAGACTTTCTAAACGCTGTACACTTAGGCTGTACTAAATTTATTAAAACAGTTTCCTTTCTTCAGGAATAAATTAACCTTAGCTTACTGTAACATTTTTACTCTATAAACTTTAAATTTTTTAAAACTCTTTCATAATAACACAGCTTAAAACAAACACATTGTAAGCTGTAGAAAATATTTTTTTCTTTACATCTTTATGCTATAAGCTTTTGTCTATTTTTAATTTTTTTATGTTTTAAACTTTGTTGTTAATAACTAAGACACAAACGCACCCATTAGCTCATGTCTATATAGGGTCAGGGTTGCCAATATTACTTTCTTCCACCTCACATCTATCCCACTAGAAGGTCTTCAGGGACAGTAGCACTCATGGAGCTGTCATCTGCTATGATAACAATGCCTTCTGGAATACCTGCTAAAAGGACCTGCCTGAGGCTGTTTTACATTTAACTTTTTAAAAAACTAGAAAGTACACTCTAATGATAAATATATAGTATAGTAAATACATAAACCAATAACATGGTCATTTATTGTCATTATCAAGTATTATGTGCTGTACATAATTGAATGTGTTATACTTTTATATGACTGGTAGCACAGTAGATTTGTTTATACCAGTATCACCACAAACACATAAGTAGCACATGACATTATGTGCCATGACATTGCAATGGCTGTGACATCACTGGGTGATAGGAATTTTTCAGCTCCATTATAATCTTTTGGGTCTACTTTCATATATGCAATCTGTTGCTGACTAAAATGTCATTATGTGATCATGACTATATGTACTATTGAAAAAATGTTTTATATTTCCATAAGGAGGCCTATAAATGATAATTGCAGCTTTTTAAAAAATCATGAAAACATGTAAGTCACCTTACATCTATTATTGGGAGATGAGATAATTTTGACACATTCATTAGCTCTGTACAGAAATCAAATGAATCTAGTGAACTAGATTTGTATTTCTAAATGGAAAGCCCTTGAAAACATAGTGTTGAATGATATAATAAGCATGTTTTGGAACACCTTTCTAAAAAATTAAAAATAACACATCACACAATATTACATATTGCTCATTGATGCAAATACATGCCATATAAAAGTAAACAAAACAACCACAGCTAAGCCATAAGGGTAAAGCTAGAATAGTATATACTACTGGTAAGGGGTGTGGGAGTGGGTTGGGGGCATTAGAGAGGACTCTAGGGCCTAAAAACTTCTCTAGTTTTACTGCATGACAAAGCACTGAATGATAGCAACTGGCAATTTTAGGTGGAGGTCACAGAGGTGTTATATTATTCTTTGATGTATTTTGGATTTAATTTATAAGATACATTTTATGCATTCTCAGAGACCCAGAGGATTTCCCTTGGGTCTGTACAATGTATTTTGAAAGTAAAAATTTAGGATTAAAAATAGTAGGGATATTTTTTCATTTTAGTCCTTTTACAAATTATTTCAGTTCTTTGCTGAAAAAGGGTGCACAGATGGAGCAGTAGCCCTTTTGATGTACACAAGTACAAAAGTGCATTTTATAAACAAATTTACTTTATCCTGTCTCTCAGGCTGGAATTGTAATATATTAGGAAATACCTAAAAACTCAATGTCCCACAGGGCTTTCTGTATTCTCGTGTGTTAAGGTAAAAAGTATTTTTTAAAGTATGAAATGGTCTGAGCCTTTGAAACACTTTAGGCTGTAATGTATTTTAATTCAATTGCACAGGCACTTATGGAATGCCTGTTGTATGTACAGATACTGCATCAAGCGTGAGGATGACTAGGAGAGAGTGAGTAGAAAATGAGAGGAGGCGGGGAAATAAATGACTGCTCTAGACTTCTAGGATGTTGACACAGTTTGGAAATGATCAATGGAGTAAATAAACCTTGACTGTTGGAGTGGGAAGCAGTATATTTTGTTAATGGAGTTATCAGTATATTGCCTTTCAGCTCTGCATCCTGCCTTTATTATCTGCTCTGATAATGGAGCTGGACCTTTAGAGCATTTCTCCTTTGCCATGAGTTTGATGTTGAACTGTGTCAGTAGAGGGCTTAGAGGGAGGCTGCTGGATGAAAGGGCTACTCGTCACTTTCCAATGTCCTTGTCTTGTCAGGTGCCTGAAGCACAGTGTTTTTTCTGAAGTACTCTGTGGTCTCTTCCCTTGGTCAGTTTCCCAGCATCCTCTTAGATGGTTACGCAGAAGATTACTATCATGTGGGGACACCTCCCTCCACCTGCTTTCGCTAGTACCCTTCAGGGGGCTTAGCAGTGAGTTTCAAGGCTGTCACCTCCCTGTGGATGTGTCCCCAACACTCAGGAGTGAGCAGGTCCAGCTAGTCTTCCATTGGGCCCTTTTTAGTGATGTCATTTCTTAGTCCCGGCAGGTGGCTTCCTAGTCTCTGGATCTGCTCTCAAGTTCAAATTACTTTCACAAATTACTTTCTCTGTTCAAGTTAGCCCATGGGACCTTCTGATTGGATTGTGTTGCATAGAGAAAGCAAACTGTGTTTGTTCCAGCATGCTAAAGTCAACAAAATGGACTTTAATATTTAAAAGATCTCTTTAATCTTTTCTCCATTTTTCTTTCTGTAGGGCTTTAACCTAGCTCTATGAATGGGTTACTGGATTAGTAGATGTGAACATCTCTATGGCTCCTACCATGTATTGCATTGGAAAAGCCATCTGCATTATTGTCATTATTAAAGTTGATGTTTGCGGTTTTTACATTTCGTATTTCATCCTTTATGCTTCACTTTTGCCATCCTAAATGCACAGCAGTGGCTTTGTGGTATAAAAAAAATAATGTGGAATTTATTGCCATATGGATCTAGTTTCTGATTCAGGTGCCACAGTTATATTATAATTGTATATCACAAACATACTAACTCTTATATATCTAAGTTCTTACTTTGAAGACCACAGGAAAATAATTATGTAACTTATATAATTACTTTGCATCTTTGAGCTCATTTTTCATGAGACATTCTGGTTGCTGTAGGTTAATCATGTTATAATAAAACATTTGGCATAGTATGTGGGGAAGAGTACTATCATCATGGATAGCTGCCATGTATTAGACATCTTTTGTGTGCCTTTTTTTTTTTTTTTGAGACAGTCTCACTCTGTTGCCCAGGCTGGAGTGCAATGGCATGATCTCAGCTCACTGCAACCTCTGTCTCCCAGGTTCAAGCGATTCTTCTGCCTCAGCCTCCCAAGTAGCTGGGATTACAGGTGTGTGCCACCATGCCCAGCTAATTTTTAGTTTTAGTAGAGACAAGGTTTCACCATGTTGGCCAGGCTGGTCTCGAACTCCTGACTTCAGGTGATCTGCCCACCTCAGTCTCCCAAAGTGCTGCGATTACAGGTGTGAGCCACCATGCCCAGCCTGTTGTATGCTTTCTAATATGGCCTCAGTAAGTGGCAGCTATATTGTGTTCTGTTCTTTAGCTTATTTTAAAAACTTTTGTCCTTGTTTGTTTAAAACACATACTACTAATAAACAAAATTATTATATTTCCTAGAACAATTTTAGTATCATTAGCAAGATTTCCATGAAAGAATGCTGCACAAAATAATATCAGGATCTTTCACGTAGTTAGTGTGACAGCTGCTGTTCTACTATTTTCAGTTAAACATCTTGTTTTGAAATACTTACAGAATCATATGCAGTTTTAAGTAATATAGAGAGATCTCATGTGCCCTTCAACAAGTTTTCACCGCTGATAATATCTTGCAAAATTATAGTACAATATCACTATGGGAAAATTGACACATTGATACAATTCAGTCATCTTCTGTAGATTTCACCACTTCTGCATTATGTGTATTGTATATGTAGGCATTCAGTTCAGTTAAACTTTATCACGTGTAAGTTGATGCAGCCATCACCACCACAGTCAAGACACAGAGCACTTCCATCTGCACAAGCATGCCTGTTGCTACCTTTATAACCATGCTCTCTGCTCTTCATTCTTAACTTCAGGAAACCACTAATTTATTCTCTATAATTTTGCCATTTCAAGAATGTTATATGAACTGAAACATGAAAACATTATGGGGTTTGGTTTTTTCACCCAGCATCTTTCTGTAGAGATGTATCTAGATTGTCGCATGTACGAAGAGCTCGTTCCTTTTTGTTGTTGAGAAGTGTTCCACAGTATGACATACCACGGTTTGTTTTACCTCTCACATGTTGAAGAGCAGCTGGGTTGTTTCCACTTTAGGGCTATTATAGATAAAACTTTTATGAACATTCTTGCATAGGTTTTTCTGTGAACATAAGTTCTCATTTCTCTGGGTTACATGCCCAAGAGTGCAATTGTTGTGTTGTAGGGTAGTTCCATGTTTAGTTTTATATGATACTGCCAAACTGTTTTTTTCAGAGCGGCTGTACCATTTTACATTCCCACCAGCAATATATGAGTAGTCCATTTTCTTTGCTCCCTCACCAGCATTTGATGTAAAATAAAAGGTATGTTGTGATGTCTTATTGTGGTTTTTATTTGATTTTCCCTAATGACTAATGATGTTGAACATCGTTTCATGTGCTTGTCTGCCATCTCTATAGCCTCTGTTCTGTTTGTAAAAATTTTTTGAAAACAACATTTCTTACAGTTTTCTTACAATTCTTTTTTGAAAATAGGCAGGAAAAAAACTGATCTGTTTAGGTTTCTCTTTTGGCTATTTGCTATAGCAGTTGTTCCTGGGTTTCCAAATCATGGCTTCTTTTCTAGAAGTTATCTCACATATCTAGATTTATCTCAGGTTCTTCCTAACTATCTTAGTCTGTTCTCACGTTGCTATAAAGATACTACCTGAGACTGGGTAATTTATAAAGGAAAGAGATTTAATTGACTCACAGTTAGTTCTGCATGGCTCGGGAGGCCTCAGGAAACTTACAATCATGGTGGAAGGGGAATAGGAAGCAAGCACCTTCTTCACGTGGTGGAAGGAGAGAGGAGAGTGAACAAGAGCAGGGAAAACTGCTTTATAAACCAACAGATCTCATGAGAACTCACTCGCTGTTACGAGAACAGTGTAGGGGAAACCGCCCCCATGATCCAATTGCCTCCCACCTTTGACACATGGGGATTACAATTCAAGATGAGATTTGGGTGGGACACAAAACCTAACCATATCATTAACATTCTGTTTTCATGTTTCCTTTAATTTGGGAATGACCAAAATAAACAAGGAAACCCAAACTCAAGCCCAAACGACAAAACTGCTCTGAACCACAACATTCACTAACAACTCATCTATTCTACAAATTTTATTTAATGTTTTAAATTCTTAAACATTTTTTAAAATAATGCCTTTTAATTTTTAATCTCAATTAGTATAAAATATTTCCATTAAGCAGAGACACCTTGGGGTAAATGCAATGTAGAGAAAGTGGAAAAGTAGGAGATAAGCTATCTAAAATACTGTATTATTCATTGTAAGGAGATCATAGGAAGGCCCATATAATTAGAATATAAACAGAACTGTAAAATTGTGAAAGGTGATAGAGAGCCAGTAATAGCAAGAAACATCTTGTGAAATGTGGCCAAGCATTGGAACAAACTAACAAATAAACAATACAGAAGATACTAAATAGTTGTAAATAGTACCAGAATCTGTCAGTTGCTCAAGACAGGAACATGAAAGTTATCTTTGATTCCTTTTGCACTGTCTTCCATATCCAGTCTCAGACAATCCAGCCATTTCTATCTCCTGAATACATCTTGACATACATCCATTTTTCCTTGCCCTAATCCAAGTCACCATCTTTCCTGGGCTATTGGAATGACCTCCTAACCAGTTTCATTAGTTTCACTCTTGTACCCGTCTAACTTCTTTCCACTGTAAAAGGAAGAATAATCTTTAGAAACATATTAAATGTTATTAATTGATAATAATAATTGTATATATTTATGGGGCTACAATGTGATGTGCTGATATATGTTTACAATGTGGAATAACTAAATCAGGCTAATTACCAAATCCATCACCTCAAATACTTATTTTTTGTGGTGAAAACATTTAAAATCTACATTTTATTTGATTTTAAAATATACAATGCATTATTATTTATTGTAGCCATCCTTCTGTGCAATAGATCACTCAAATTCCACTTGTCGAACTGAAACTTTATACCCTGTGAACATCTTCCTTTACCTCATCTACCCCAACCCCCAGCCTCTGGAAACCCCTATTCTACTCTCTTCTTCTATGAGTTCAACTTTTTTAGATTCCACATGTAAGTGAGATCATGCTGTATTTATCTTTCTTTGTCTGGCTTATTTCACTTAGCATAATGTCTTACGGGTTCATTCCTGTTATTACAAATGACAGAATTTCCTCCCTTTTAAAAGGCTAAATAGTACTCTGTTGTGTATATGTACCACATTTTCTTTATCCATTCATCCGATGACAGACACCTAGGTTGCTTCCACATCTTAGCTATTGTGAATAATTCTGCAGTGAGTTTGGGAGTACAGATATCTTTGACATACAGTTTTCAATTCCTTTTGGAAATATACCTAGAGGTAGGATTGCCGGATCACATGGTAATTCTATTTTAAATTTTCTGAGGAACCTCCATACTGTTTTTCAAAATTGCTGTGTTAAAGCAGGTTTCTCATAAGCAGCAATGCAAGCAAAAGACAATGGAGTAAGACCTTTAAAATAATTTAAAAAGTAAATATCAACTCAGAATTTTATCTTTCCAAAGCAAATATCTTTCCAAATTGGAGGCAAACTAAACTTTTTCAGAAACACAAAGTAATTGATCTCTAAAAGACCCAAGAAATGTTAAAGGAGTCCTTCAGGAAGAAGGAAAATGATTCCAGGGAGAAATATGAATCAACACAAAGAAACAAACAAACAAAATGCTGGGAATGGTGTCTACAAGGCAAAATATAGGAGAATGTTTTTCTTGTGACTTAAGTATTTTTGGAAGATAATTGACCATTTAAACAAAAATGATAAAAACATAATGTGGGGTTAATAACATATGAAAAGACTGGGCTTGGTGGCTTGCGCCTGTAATCCTAACACTTTGGGAGGCCGAGGCGGGTGGATCACCTGATGTGGGGAGTTTGAGACCAGCCTGGCCAACATGGTGAAACCCCATCTCTACTAAAAATACAAAAAATAGCCAGGTGTGCTAGCAGACGCTTGTAATCCCAGCTACTCAGGAGGCTGAGGCAGGAGAATGGCTTGGACCTGGGAGGCGGAGGTTGCGATGAACTGAGATCGCACCACTGCACTCTAGCCTGGGCGACAGAGTGAGACTCCCTTAAAAAAAAAACCAGAAATCAAAAAACAAAAAACAAAAAAACCCAGAAACCATATGAAAAACAGAATGCATAATAACATATAAAGGCCAAAAGGGGAGAAAGGAAGTATACTGTTATATTTTTATTGTGCTATGTGAGAACTTATATCACTTCTAAGTAGACTAGGAAAATTTCAAAATAAATATAAATTTTAGAGCATGTAACAAAACTAATAGTTATCACTAATATGCCAATAAAGAAGAAAAAATTCAAAAAAATAAAAAAGAAACACTGTGTTAATTTGCATTTCCTCAACAGTGCGCAAAGGTTTCTTTCTCTCTGCATCCTTCCTTGCCAACATTTGTTATCTTTTGCCTTCTTTTTTGTTTTGAGACAGGGTTTCGCTCTGTTGCCCAGGCTGGAGTACATCTTGGCTCACTGTGATCTCCACCTCTGGGCTCAAGTGATTCTCCCACTTCAGCCTCCCGAGTAACTTAAATTACAGGCACGCACTACCACGCGTGGCTTTTTTTTTTTTTTTTTTTTTTTTAAGTAGAGATGGGGTTTCACCATGCTGGCCAGGCTGCTCTTGAACTCCTGACCTCAAGTGGTCCACTGGCCTTGGCCTCCCAAAGTGCTGGGATTACAGGCTTGAGCCATTGTGCCTGGCTTAGCTTTTGTCTTTTAGATAATAGCCATAGTAACAGGTGCTAAGTGATATTTCATTGTGATTTTAATTTGTATTTCTCTGATGATTAGTGATGATGAATATTTGTTTATCTGTTACTCATTTGTATGTCTTTTATTAAGTGTCTGTTTAGGTCTTTTCCTTGTTTTTGATGTATTTTCTTGCTATTGAGTTATTTGAATTCTTCATGTATTTTGAATATTGTCTTCTTATCAGATATATAGTTTGCAAATATTATATCTCAGTCCATGGATTGTCTTTTCCCTCTATTAGTTGCTTTCTTTGCTGTGCAGAAGACTTTTAGTTTGATGCAATCCCATTTTTCTATTTTTGCTTTTGTTGCCTGTACTTTTGGCAAAAGAAATCTTGGCCTAGCGCAATGTCATGAAGCATTTTCCTATGTTTGTTTTTCTTGTAGTTTTACAGTTTCAAGTCACATGTTTAATTCTTTAATCCATTTGAGTTGATTTTTTCATATGGGGTTAGAAAAGGGTCCAGTTTTATTCTTTTGCTTGTGGATATTCAGTTTTCCAATTTATTGAAGAGATTATTCTTTCTCTATTGTGTGCTCATGATACCTTTGTCAAAAATCAATTGACCATATATATGAGTTTATTTCTGGCCTCTCTATTCTGTTCTTTCAGTCATTGTGTCCGTTTTTATGCCAGTACCATATTGTTTTGATTACTATAGCTTTGTACTAGATTTGAAGTCAGATAATGATTCCTCCAGCCTTGTTCTTATTGCTCGAGATTACTTTGACTATTGAATTAAAGATCTTTTGTGGTTCTCTATGAGTTTTAGGATTGTATTTCTGTTTCTGTGAAAAGACATTGGAATTTTGCTAGGGATTGCATAGACTCTATAGATCACTTTGGGTAGTATGGGCATTTTAACATTATTAATTTTTCCAATCCGTGGACACAAGATATCTTTTTCTTTGTATCATTTACAACTTATTTCATTGTTTCATAGTTTTCTGCATATAGATCTTCTGCCTCCTTGATCACATTTCTTAACGTATTTTATTTGTTTGATGCTATTTTAAATGAGGTTGATTTCCTGATTTGTTTTTCAGATAGGTCACTGCTAGTGTAAGGAAATGCTATGGATTTTTGCTTCTTGATTTTGTACCTTGCAACTTTACTGTATTTGTTTATCAGTTCTAATAGTTTGATAGTATAGTTCTTAGGGTTTTCTATATATAAGCTCATGTCATCAGCAAACAGACAATTTTACTTCTTTATTTCCTATTTGGATGTCTTTTATTTCTTTTTCTTGCCTAATTGCTCTGGCTAGTACTTGCAGTACTGTGTTGAAAACAAGCTGTGAGAGTGGGCACCTTTGTCTTGTTCCTAACCTTAAAGGAAAAGCTTTCCACTTTTCACCATTGGATATGGTGTTAGCTGTGGGGTTTTCATATATGGCCAGTATTGTGTTGAGATAAATTCCTTCTATGCCTAACTTGTGAGTTTTTATCATAAAAGGATGTAGAATTTTTTCAAATGTTTTTTCTGTATCTATTGAGATGATCATATGGTTTTTGTCCGTTCTATTAATGTGATGCATCACATTTATTAATTTGTGTATGTTGAATTATCCATGCATCCCAGGGATAAATCCTACCTGATTATGATGAATGATCCTTTCAAGTGCTATTGAGTTTGTTTGCTAGTATTCTGTTGAGGACTTTTGTATTTATGTTCATCAGGGTTATTGGCCTGTGATTTTCTTTTCTTATAGTATCATGGAAGAATGGTCTTAACATGTAAGCTAGAATATAACACTCTTCAACTTAAAATCTTTAATGACTTCCCTTTATATTTAAACTGTCTTTGTCATTGTGGTCTAAATAATCGGTTTTTGACTACCTCTCAACTTTATCTTGTATAATTATTCTGTTATCTAAGTAAACTCAAAAACAGCTGGCCTACTTTTAGTTATTTTAAGTTACAAGCTTTTCCATGCCTTGATCAATCATATTTTAAGGATGAAGATTAATGTATTCCTAAGATGCCCTGAGATAGCCTAAATACCAAAAACCATTCTGTGTTCCACAAACCAAGAAATGTGGTAATTAGTAAAGCATTCATTTTAAACACTTTGACCTCCTTTAAGCACTTTGCTCTTAAGTTGCCCCTCACCCCACAAGATTGTAACTCTTCATCTACAGAAGGCCCACTGTGAATTTTTGGGTAATTATCTCTTGCTTTTAACCTGAATCCAGTTATTCTTTTTCTTTCCGTTTTTCTTTTCTAGAAACACTCTCCACAATTCCTCTCCCTTCTTTCTATTCTTAGTCTTCACACTGTCCCCTGTTTCCTAAGGAAGAATTAACTTTTGATTGTGCTCATTTAGAAAAAGAGCATAGTCGAGTTCTAAGACCATAATATGTGAAATTCTTGCATTAGTCGGTAGTAAAAATATACAGTCATTTCTGTTTCTAATTATTTGGCATTAAGGTCTGATTCCCCAAGTTAACCTATTATCACCGCTTAGATTTAATGATCACTGTTTAAGAGAATAGATGTGTTTGCTAGAAACTCCTACTCAGTAAATTGTGTTGATATTTTTGTAAATATATCAAAGGTACCAGGATAGGTGGAGATATAAGCTGATTAGGTACTTTTTTCCTTCTACCTCTACAGAGTAAGATAAAGGTTAAGTATCACATTTTTGTGTAACAAAGTATCTGATTTTGATGTGCTTTCACTTTTGATATATGCAACAATGAATCTCTCATTTGAAATATGACTTGTATATGAGTTCTGGGATCTGTGACCACTGATCCAGAAAAGATGAAGAGAAAAGGAATTCTGGTGACAAAGAAACAGGCAAGGAGGCGAAACAGTTCCAAGCTTTTCCACCTTCTTCTACATTCATTATGTAATATGGTTGCAGCAACAGTTATTTTAATTTAAAAGCTTTACTTAAATACTTTTACTTTTGCTGACTGGACCAACCACTATTATTACCCATTTCTTTTATTCCAACGCTTCTTGGTAGTTATATATATTTTACTATTTTGCTCATTCATAGATATCTGCCACATTTCATTATTTTGACACTGCCACTTTACTGATGTTTTTACATTATGAAGTTAACTGATCCAATAGAAATTGTCACTTTTGGTGCTCATTCTCTGTGGTGGTGATACATGTGGTATGTTTTCTTTCTTTTTTTTCTTCTTTTTCTTTTTTTTTTGAAACAGTCTCTCTGTGTCACCCAGGCTGGAGTGCAGTGGTGCAATCTCAGCTCACTGCAACCTCTGCTTCCTGGATTCCAGCAATTCTCCTGCCTCAGCCTCCCGAGTGGCTGGGATTATAGGCATGCGCCACCATGCCTGGCTAATTTTTGTATTTTTTATTTTTTTAGGAGAGATGGGGTTTCACCATGTTGGCCAGGCTGGTCTCGAACTCGTGGCCTCAAGTGATCCGCCTGCCTCAGCCTCCCAAAGTGCTGGGATTACAGGCGTGAGCCACTGTGCCCAGCCGGATGTTTTCTTTTTCTCACCATCGTGGGAGATGATGTGAACTATCCAGCAGATCCAGGACGGTAGTCAGAAGGACCTGACTTTGACTGTTGTCACTAGTATAGCAATAATTTAGGAATAGGTTCTCAAATAAATAGGAGGCATAAATGGAGATGATGTGGGATTATGCTATAAGACTGCTATAAGACTACCCAGAGTATCACAGTTATCCGTACATATCCAGATTGTATGAGAAGTCTTACTGAAGATTCAGTAAGCCTGAAATAGTAAGTTGTTACCTGTGCATCTGGGATAGATGTGAAGGCAACTTAGCACATAAATTGCTGTGTTAATTTACCTGACTTTGGTTGCCAGGTAGAGTGTAGTTTCTGGGTGATAGGTTTGTTTTCAAAATTGGAAAAGTTAGAGAATAACAGCGAGCAGTCTGCTACACAGCTAAGTATTATGGGACTCTGGGCAGCCTGCTGAAGTTTGAGTTGTGCTCTCTTTGTTGCACTCATTTTCAACTGGTAGTGATTTTGCCCACCAAGGGACATTTGACATTTGCAGATATTTTGGTTGTCACAACCGAGGATTACTATTGGCATCTAACTGGTAGAGGCCAAGAATGCTGCTAACTATGCTACAATGCACCAGACATCTACCCATATAAAAAGACCCAAAATGTGATAGTGCCAAGGTACTAGAGAAACACCAACAAAGTTCTTTTGTAAGTTTTCTTATTCGTTAAAGGTTGAGCTTGCATGTTTGCTACCTTGTTCCTAAAGCATGGCCAATCTTTAGTAAAAATACAATGATTGAGGGTACACGTAAACCTTAATGGTTCCTATCAACTAATATTTGGACAAACGTGCATGTACTAGCTTTACACATACAAGTTTTTTTTTCTGTGCTGTTTACCTATTTGCAGTTTTTATACAATATGAGTTTTGCCTATCTTTTTTTTTTTTTTTTTGAGACAGAGTCTCACTCTGTCACCCAGGCTGGAGTGCAGTGGCGTGATCCCGGCTCACTGCAAGCTCCGCCTCCCAGGTTCACGCCATCCTCCTGCCTCAGCCTCCCAAGTAGTTGGGACTACAGGCGCCCACCACCACACCTGGCTGATTTTTTGTATTTTTTAGTAGAGACGGGGTTTCACCGTGTTAGCCAGGATGGTCTTGATCTCCACCTTGTGATCTGCCCGCCTTGGCCTCCCAAAGTGCTGGGATTACAGGCGTGAGCCACCACACCTGGCCGAGTTTTGCTCATCTTTTAGAAAAATTTTTCTGTGCCACTTTAGGATGAAGAGAGATAGTTGAGGTTTGGTTGTTTCCCTCAGATTTCTTAGTAATGAGGTATTTAGTGTCACTCAGTATTAAAGAATTATCTGATCGTAGACTTTATGAATAGGATCAAGGATGATTAAATGTCATACTTTTTCTCCATAGTGAATATAACTAGGAGAGGAGGAAGCAGGAAGTGTTAGATAAAAAGGGTAATAGAATTTACACAACAATATTTACCAAAATGTAATAAAACTCTTCATTACCTGGTAAGAACCATATCATGAGGACTAGCACAGCACTGTACTTGTAGATGCTTAATATAAATGCCACCTGATTTTTATTCTATGTAATGTAATTCTGTGCTACTGACTTGACTAAAATTCAGAGTATTAGACTCATTGTTTGTAGGATATTACAAATAATGTGAACTTTCTTGATAATTGCACATAAATATACTATAATAAAACTTTCTACAGTGCTGAAAGAGTTCTCTAAACAATTAATTATACATTTCAGCACTCTTATGAGCCAAGTAAATTGTTACTGTCTCTCAAGGAGAGCATATATTTCTGTGAAATGCTTGTAATACAAGTATTCCACATGAAATAATGTCTTGATAGGGAAATCTACTGATCTGTTTCTGTTAACTATGTCCATAAACTCATTTAGACCTTCGCTCATGATAGCGTATACCAACAATAGGCAAAGTACCTGCAAAAATATACACCTCCTCTTACGTGCTTGTTCCAACATATATTTGAGGCATAATAAAGTAGAATTTTCCAACTGAAAGGAGGATTTTGTGTCTTTGGAGCAGAAATTAATATTTGTATTAATACAGATATTAATTCTGTTTTAAGTGACAGACAACCCAGCTTAAATTTGCCTGAACCTAGAAAGAGCATTTATTAGCTCACATAGTTGGAAAGGCTAGTGGCTGGCTTTGCCTGCAGTTATAGACACTCAAACAGTGTCTTCTCTTGTCTCCTAGCCTTACCTTCACTGTTTTGGCTTCATTCTCAGGGTAGAGTAATACATGATCATAGAATCAAATGCTTAGTCCCACAAGTTACAGGACAGTTGAAGAGGAAACCTGCAAAGTCTCCTTAGCTCTCATTTTCTTTGCCTGGGTCATATTTCTGTCTCTGAATCAGTCACTCTAGCCAGGAGATTGTGATGGCATAGATTGAGCCATATGCTGAGCTTGGATTTGGTTGGGATTCAATACCACTTATAGCTGAGAGTGCAAGAGTAAGTTGCCCTGAAGAAAATTTAAATTATGTACAATATAAATATTTGTCCTAACTCTTCTCTCTTTCCAGAAGTACCACTGTAACAAGTTTATTGCACTTGCAATTCTATAGATGTAAAAATTAATACCTTTTTATGTTGTATATGTATAGTACCGTATGTGTTTCTTTCTCTTGCTTTTGTCATTGATCAATATATTTTATACCCCCTACTTATGAAGATCTTCAAGGAAATACCATAACTTCTCTTTTAAATAATAGAAATATCCTAAATAGACATTTTATTGTTTATAAAGTATTTAAGAAATATCAAAACCGACCACCCAAACATTCTTAGGAATTCATTAAGTGAAAATTTCCATGAGTCTTTTTATAAAGTGTATTTCTTATTAGGCTTCAATCTATATTTGGGGTTTTAACACAGGCAGAAAAATACCTGTAGGTAAATTAAATACTTTTCAGCAAGTAATATTTCTGAAAGAATGTATCAGTTTAGAGCATCTTGGCTGATTAAAGTATAAAGTATTATATCAGTATTGTCCCTAGTGATGAAAATTGGATAAGACTGGGTGTATGGTGGCTCATGCCTCTATAATCCTGGCTTTGGGAGGCCACATTGAGGGGATCAGTTGAGGCCAGGATTTTGAGACCAGCCTGGGCAACATAGTTAGACCTTGTCTCTATAAAATTTAAAAACATTAGTCACGTATGGTGAGATGTACCTGTAGCTTCAACTACTTGAAGGTTGAGGTAAGAGGATTGCTCGAGCCCAGGAGTTTGAGGTGACCATGAGCTGTGATCGCACCACTGCATTCCAGCCTGAGCATCAGCATAAGACCCTGTCTCAAAAAAAAAAAAAAAAAGAAAGAAAGAAAAGAGCTGGTTAAAAACTCAGATTTTCAACTGAAAATAAATTAAAGATTTAACTGTAAGACCTGAAACTATGAAAGACCTAAAACAAAACATAGCGGGGAAACTTCATGACATTGATCATGGCAATGATTTCATGGATATGACATCAAAAGCAAAGGAAACCAAAGCAGAAATAGACAAGTGGGACTACATCAAATTTAAGAGCTTCTGCAGAGCAAAGGAAGCAATGGAGTGAAAAGGCAACCTATGGAATAGGAGAAAATATTTGCAAACCATGTATCTGATAAGGGGTTAATTTCTAAAATACATAAGGAACTCCTAGAACTCAATAGTGAGAAAACTAATAACCCTATTTTAAAGTGAGAAGTTTTGTTGTTGGTGTATAAGAATGCTTGTGATTTTTGTACATTGATTTTGTATCCTGAGACTTTGCTGAAGTTGCTTATCAGCTTAAGGAGATTTTGGGCTGAGACAATGGGGTTTTCTAGATATACAATCATGTCGTCTGCAAACAGGGACAATTTGACTTCCTCTTTTCCTAATTGAATACCCTTTATTTCCTTCTCCTGCCTAATTGCCCTGGCCAGAACTTCCAACACTATGTTGAACAGGAGTGGTGAGACAGGGCATCCCAGTCTTGTGCCAGTTTTCAAAGGGAATGCTTCCAGTTTTTGCCCATTCAGTATGATATTGGCTGTGGGTTTGTCATAGATAGCTCTTATTATTTTGAAATACGTCCCATCAATACCTAACTTATTGAGAGTTTTTAGCATGAAGCGTTGTTGAATTTTGTCAAAGGCTTTTTCTGCATCTATTGAGATAATCATGTGGTTTTTGTCTTTGGCTCTGTTTATATGCTGGATTACATTTATTGATTTGCGTATATTGAACCAGCCTTGCAACCCAGGGATGAAGCCCACTTGATCATGAGCCAAATCATGAGTGAACTCCCATTCACAATTGCTTCAAAGAGAATGAAATACCTAGGAATCCAACTTACAAGGGATGTGAAGGACCTCTTCAAGGAGAACTACAAACCACTGCTCAAGGAAATAAAAGAGGATACAAACAAATGGATTAACATTCCATGCTCGTGGGTAGGAAGAATCAATATCGTGAAAATGGCCATACTGCCCAAGGTAATTTACAGATTCAGTGCCATCCCCATCAAGCTACCAATGCCTTTCTTCACAGAATTGGAAAGAACTACTTTAAAGTTCATATGGAACCAAAAAAGAGCCCACATCGCCAAGTCAATCCTAAGCCAAAAGAACAAAGCTGGAGGCATCACACTACCTGACTTCAAACTATACTACAAGGCTACAGTAACCAAAACAGCATGGTACTGGTACCAAAACAGAGATACAGATCAATGGAACAGAACAGAGCCCTCAGAAATAACGCCGCATATCTACAACTATCTGATCTTTGACAAACCTGAGAAAAACAAGCAATGGGGAAAGGATTCCCTATTTAATAAATGGTGCTGGGAAAACTGGCTAGCCATATGTAGAAAGCTGAAACTGGATCCCTTCCTTACACCTTATACAAAAATCAATTCAAGATGGATTAAAGACTTAAACATTAGACCTAAAACCATAAAAACCCTAGAAGAAAACCTAGGCATTACCATTCAGGACATAGGCATGGGCAAGGACTTCATGTCTAAAACACCAAAAGCAACGGCAACAAAAGCCAAAATTGACAAATGGGGTCTAATTAAACTAAAGAGCTTCTGCACAGCAAAAGAAACTACCATCAGAGTGAACAGGCAACCTACAAAATGGGAGAAAATTTTCGCAACCTACTCATCTGACAAAGGGCTAATATCCAGAATCTACAATGAACTCAAACAAATTTACAAGAAAAAAACAAACAACCCCATCAAAAAGTGGGCAAAGGACATGAACAGACACTTCTCAAAAGAAGACATTTATGCAGCCAAAAAACACATGAAAAAATGCTCATCATCACTGGCCATCAGAGAAATGCAAATCAAAACCACAATGAGATACCATCTCACACCAGTTAGAATGGCGATCATTAAAAAGTCAGGAAACAACAGGTGCTGGAGAGGATGTGGAGAAATAGGAACACTTTTACACTGTTGGTGGGACTGTAAACTAGTTCAACCATTGTGGAAGTCAGTGTGGCGATTCCTCAGGGATCTAGAACTGGAAATACCATTTGACCCAGCCATCCCATTACTGGGTATATACCCAAAGGACTATAAATTGTGCTGCTATAAAGACACATGCACATGTATGTTTATTGGGGCATTATTCACAACAGCAAAGACTTGGAACCAACCCAAATGTCCAACAATGATAGAGTGGATTAAGAAAATGTGGCACATATACACCATGGAATACTATGCAGCCATAAAAAAGGATGAGTTCATGTCCTTTGTAGGGACATGGATGAAATTGGAAATCATCATTCTCAGTAAACTATGGCAAGAACAAAAAACCAAACGCCACATATTCTCACTCATAGGTGGGAATTGAACAATGAGATCACATGGACACAGGAAGGGGAATATCACACTCTGGGGACTGTGGTGGGGTCGGGGGAGGGGGGAGGGATAGCATTGGGAGATATACCTAATGCTAGATGATGAGTTAGTGGGTGCAGTGCACCAGCATGGCACATGTATACATATGTAACTAACCTGCACAATGTGCACATGTACCCTAAAAAAGTATAATAAAAAAAAATTGAGAAGTTTTTAATATAAATTTAAGGTATACAGTATGATTTTTTGTGAACTTTTAGGTTCAGGGGTATATATGTGGGTTTGTTATATTGGTAAATTTTGTGTCATGGGGTTTAGTGTACAGGCTGTTTTATCACTCAGGTACTAATCATAGTATTCAATAGGTAGTTTTTTGATCCTCTCCTTTTTCTCACCTTCTGCCCTCAAGTAGGTTCTGGTATGTGTTGTTCCCTTCTTTGTGTGTGTGTGTTCTCAGTGGTTAGCACCCTTTTATAAGTGAGAACATGCAGTATTTGGTTTTCTGTTCCTGTGTTAGTTTGCTTATGATACTGGCCTCCAGCTTCATCCATGTTGCTGCAAAAGACATAATCTGTTTTTTTTTTATGGCTCTGTAGTATTCCATGACATATCTGTACCACATTTTCTTTATCCACTCTACTGTTGATGGGCATTTAGGTTGATTCCGTGTTTTTGCTATTGTGAATAGTGTTGCAGTGAACATACGTGTGTGTGTGTCTTTATGGCAGAACGATCTATATTCCTTTGGGTATATACCCAATAATGGGATTGCTGGGTTGAATGGTAATTCTGTTTTAAGTTCTTTGAGAAATCACCAAACTGCTTTCCATAGTGGCAGAACTAATTTACATTCCCACCAGCAGTGTATAAGAATTCCCTTTTCTCCACAGTCTTGCCGGCATCTTGTTATTTTTTGACTTTTTAACAATAGCCATTCTGATTGATGTGAGATGGTATCTCATTGTGGTTTTAATTTGCATTTCTCTAATAATTAGTGATGCTGAGCATTTTTAGATGTTGGCCATGTGTATGTCTTCTTTTGAAAGGTACAACATGATGTTTTGATATACATAATGATTAGAGGTAAGCAGTTTAACATACTCATCATCTTATATATATATATATATATATTTTTTTTTTTTTGGTAAGCACATCTAAAATCTACTCTCTTCAAAATGGTTAAAGGACTTGAATAGACATTTCTCTAAAGAAGACACACAAATGGCCAACAGGTACATGAAAAGATGTTCAATTCACTAATCATCAGGGAAATACAAATCAAAACCACAGTGAGGTATTGACTCACACCTGTTAGGATGACTATTATCAAAAAACAAAAGACAGCATGTATTGTTGAGGATATGGAGAAATTGGAACACTTGGACACTTGGTAGGAGTGAAAAACATGTGCACTCGGTTGGTTTACACTGTTGAAAACTGTATGGTGAAAATTAACAATAAAATTACCATAAAGTCCTGAAATCCCACTTCTGGGTGTTTAATCCAAAAGAATGGAAATCAGGATCCCAAACAGGTATTAGCACTCCCATGTTCATTGTGGCACCACTCACAATAGCTAAGATATGGAAACAACCTAAATGTCAATGGATAAATCAATAAAGAAATGTAGACTATACATATAATGAAATGTTTTTCAGCCTTAAAAAAGAATGAACATAATATGTGACAACATAGATGAACCGAGATAACATTATGCTAACCGAAGCGAGCCAGTCACAGAAAGACAAATACAGCGTGATTCTACTTAATATGAAGTATCAAAAATAGTCAGACATATATAATCAGAGGGTAGAATGCTGGTTACCAGGAGCTTGGGGGAAGGGCAAATGGGGAGTTGCTCTTCAATGAGTGTAAAGTTTTAGTCAATGCCAGATGAACAAATTCTAGAGATCTTTTGTACGCTATTGTATCTATAGTTAACAATACTGTTTTTTATATACTTATTTAAGGGATTAGATCTGATCTTGTGTTCTTAATTCAATACAAATTAAAACAAAAACAAAAACTCACTTATCTTCTTCATGCCTGATAGTAAACTTTAAACTGATACCTGTGTAGTTATGTATGTACTCACATGTTTAACAAATAATTATCACTTCCTTATTGATGTGCAGTTGCTAGTGGGCTGTTTCTGAGGTGCATTCAGACGGGATATATTTTCTTTCTAACTCTTATGGGTGCTAGAGGTGGCTTACCAGAAGTTGGAGATTAAGTGGTTTACTGTTGTTTCTCGGGTTTGGGACAGAATCCCTAGCTCAAACTATGAATATTGACAGATTAGATTGATTTCAGGAACATAAGACTTAATTGAATCTTCGGAGTAATAGGGGCAAGAACTTGGTTAGGAATAAACAGGATTTAAGTAATTAGAATTATTTAGCTCTCCTGGGACTCAGTGAAACATCTTCTAAATAAGATTCTGGAACTTCTCTGTCCTGTAATTTAACTGTGGACACCTGTGACTCAATCCTGACCAACCTGGCAAAATATCTAATTCTTTCTCCTGAGATTGTATCTGGAATCATTCTTGCTATATCTTAAGTCTATAACTCTTATTTTTCCTTTTAATTATTACTGTTGGTTTTAAAATTGTAATTACAATATAATTCATATTACTGAGAAAAATATCTTTAACAGCACAGTGATTATTGTAAGTAATTTTTTAAAAAGTCTTTTTCATTATGCCAACCCCATTTCTCATAAATAATCCCTGTTAATGAGTTTGGTGTATGGAATATAGAAGTGGTCTTGTGTTTGGATTAACAAACTAATAAGACATGATAGGCTTTACTCAATGCCAAGTTTAAGGGCACAAGGCAGGTAATAAAGCTTGATAACAAAATTAGTGAGGTCTGTCATTTCACAGTAATTGCTTTCAAATGTACCAGTAAGTCCACATTTTGGATATGCTTTTCCAGGGAAGCCATTGATTTTGGGGTCTCTTTAGTTTTTATCCCTTTGTTTCCTTCGGGGTGCCAGACTAGGGACCATTTTCCAGTGCAGGTGCATCTTATTAATGCTGATGGCCGATTACTTGATCTACAACCTTGACATAAAGACCTTTCCCTGATGCTTTCTTGGATTTGGTATGTTCCTATACCTTCCATGAATTGCTATTGCAAGGAAGATTTGACCAAGGTTATTCAAACTTTAAAAGTAACAATATATCTCATAACAGATAATATACTAATACATATAAGATCTAACGTTTTTGTTGGTAGTAAAATAGGACCATGGTATATTTTATCAGTATTCAGCTGTGGGCAGTATAAGTTTGCTATTAGTTTTTCATGATTACACATACTGTCACAGCAAATATCCTTGTACATATTTCCTTGTAATTTTGGGCAAGTATTTATGCAAGCTACATAGAATTTCTGGATAAAAAGGTAAACACCTTTAAATTTTTTATAAATCTGCCAAACTGTCCCTCAACGTTATAGTCTCATCAACAGCGTGTGAGATAATGTTTCCTCCTGCACCTTCCTTCTACTTTTATTTATGTTGTCTCTCTCTAGTCCCTGAATTTTTGTGTGTGTGATTTTGGTAGGATATACAAAATGATCTTGATTTTGCACTAAAATCAGAATGCTTAGGATTAGCTCAACATCATAGGACTAAGTGGCTGATCTAGACTAGCACTGTCTGTCTCTCGTATTCTTTGAGTTAACTGAAACTGCAGAATCTATTTTGTTTTATTCTCCTACTTTAATATTTGGAACTAATTTATAATCTACTTTGCAGAAAGTGAAGTTATTTCAACTCAACTTTATTCCAAAGAAATAGGGAACTATTTGAAATAGGGAACTAACCTCTGCTTGTGCCTGAAGCTCTTCATTATTTGTCAGTAATGTTAACTTATGCCAAGTAAAAAAAAAAAAAAGTTAAAGATGTATTTCACCTACTTACGGGTTCTACTAAAATATAAAGTTGCTGTAGAGGTTTTTAATATATTTTAGTCTTCATCTGTTTATCAGCCTGTTGCATGGTAAGTAATTGCTCAACCATTGAAGTTATGGTATGTGACAAATCTGCAGAAATTTTGCTGTATAAGCCAATAGAATTTTTACATTAAAAGATAACTCATGCAGTAACTTCTATTCATTAAAGCTTGGGACAACTTAAATGATGATAAAGTGAACTTTTTTTAGGTAGATTCATTACGATTTATCAAAAATTAAAGAATGTCCTCTACTTCTGGTTCCTTTAGTTGGTCACTTTCTCTAACAGTGATATTGGTTTACACATTTTTCAAATGTCGCTGTGTGTGAACTTATGCCAATGTTGTTTACAATGTGTTGGAAACATTTCATTTTTCAAATGCAGTTTTATTTATGTTTATAGAAAATATTTGAAACTGGTGAAAACCTCTTTGTTAATAAAATGAAGGAGAGGTAGAATACATTTTTTTGGTCATGCTTTATTGAAAACAAAATGGTTTTAGGGACAGACTGGAACTTGTTTTTCCTTCCAGATGGATTGAATCCCTACTCTCAACCTACAAGCACTGAGAAAATAGTCTAAACATTTCATCATGCTTATTTTAGCTCCCTTTGCCATTTAAAGCAGGAATAGATGTGGACAAATTTACTTCCTATGATATAGGTGTTTCTCTTTTTATACACTGCTCAAGAAATATCAATTTAAAGGTGGATGTTGGAAATAACAGGCATTAGCGTTTTTTCTATTGTAAAAGTAACAATGATCTTAGCTGAACTGGATTTATTATTAGCAGTTTTACACATTTGCCCGCTGAAATTCATTTCTTCTTTCCTTGTCTTCCTCTTGCATTTTGGTGACTTCTTTACAGCCCTCACCACAGTCTACAGTGCATTGCATGTATTTGCTTCTGTTTTCGTGTTTTTCACTATAATATGAACCCAGAGAACTAGATCTGTTTATTGTTCATCTTTTTATCTTATGTAAGCCTAGCACATAATAGGAATACACGTTGAATTCAACCGATCTTTGCAAAATGGTGTAATGTGAAAAATTGGCAAGTCATTCTATTTGATAATCCTTGACCATTAAAAACTACTATTTCTGAGATTTTCATATTACTTTAGTGAATCGGTTATTACATAAAAATATTCCATACACTTGTTAGTTTTGTTTACAGAGAATTGTTTTATATTCTCTAAAGATAATTACCGATAGTTTACCATCTGTTTCTATTAACGAGTCCTTTCTATCTCCCTAATCACTTGTTTTGTGCTATATTTTATACGTGAAATGATCTCTGTTTTTTAGCTTTTGATGGTTTTGATACTTAGGAAATGTGCGATATCTTCTGTGATCTTCTGCAAGTTATATTTGTGACATAATTTGAATTTGAGTGTCACTCCTTACTAGGAAATGTGTGTTGGTAATTTGTAAAATGAGACATCCCTTTTAGATGTCTTTATAAAAACTCTTATTTTTGTTTTTTATTTTCTAAGTAGATAAGGCTTTTCTTTTCCAGAAACACAATCTTTTCAGATTTTTTTTTCATTCTGACAAAAATGGAAAAAGAGGACTCAATGTTTATTGAATGCTTATTGTATTCTTGTATCGTAATGAGCACTATATATAATCATTAAGTAATTACTTAATAACCTTATTCCATAAGTAATATGCTTATTTACTGGTGAGTAAGCTACAGAGAAAATGAATATTTTTTTTTCCACTTCGCCTCTGCTTTATTTCTCATGTACCATAGAACACAGAAAATAGTCTTACATATCATGGATAAGTGGAAAATACATTGGAACTTTTATTTCTGACAATATAGTCAGGTAGATATTCTTTAAATATCCCATCCATAGGAAAAGGATTTTAAAAAAAAAAAGATAAAAGAAGGTATAGAAAATATTAGCAACAGATTATCAGAAAAGACCTTGAATTGAAAAAAGAATCAAATAGAACTTCTTTAAAAAGAATCAGTAAGACTATAAACTTTAATGTTTTAAACAGGTGACTAGACATAATTGCAAGAGAGGTTTGAAGAAATTACATGCATACACAGAAAGAAAAGGTGATAGAAGCGACACAGTTTAAGAAATGTGACATTAGTGGGTGCAGTGCACCAGCATGGCACATGTATACATATGTAACTAACCTGCACAATGTGCACATGTACCCTAAAACTTAGAGTATAATAAAAAAAAAAAAAAAAGAAAAAAAAAAAAAAAAAAAAAAAAAAAAAGAAATGTGAAGGGCAGAATGAGACTGTCTAAAAATACGTTTAAATGGAGAGTCAGAAAATTGATGCGTAGAGAGAATGGAAGGTAGGAAATAATGGAATTAAAAGTGGCTAAGAATTATCCAGAACTGAAGAAAGTCATGGGTCCTCAGATTTAGGAAGCACATTTTGTTGTTGTTGTTTTTCAGACAGGGTCTGGCTCTGTCGCCTAGGCTGGAGTGCAGTGGTGCCATCTTGGCTTACTGCAGCCTGGACCTCCCCAGGCTCAAGCGATCCTCCAGCTCAGCCTCCTAAGTAGCTGGGACTACAGGTGAGTGCCACCATGCTCAGCTAATTTTTAAAAATTTCTTGTAGAGACAGGGTCGTGCCATGTTGCCCAGGCCGGTCTTGAATTTCTCAGCTCAAGCAGTCCTCCCGCCTTTGCCTCTCAAAGTGCTGGGATTACATTCCTAAGGCCTCCACGCCCAACCTTGGAAGCACAGTTAATTCCAAATAAGCTACACGATGGTGAAATTCGGAAAACTAAAGACAAAGGGAAAGTCTTAAAATTTGCCAAAAAGAGAAAACAGGTTAGATACACAAGAATATTGGACTGACAGCGGCTTTCTGAAAGTATCAGTGTACCAATGGCAATCAGAAGCCAATGTACTAATACCGTCAAATTTACTACCAATTTACAGTATTATTTATACTCAGCTAATCTATTATTCCAGAATGAAGCTGAAGTCATTACATTTGCAGCCACACGGAAGAGGAGTGTCTTTACCACCAAGAGAGGCTCATTAAATGTACATTAAAGCTGGGTGGGGTATGCAGGTGTGAAATGTCAGGAGGTGGTTAGGTCCCCTGCTGAGATTTCGGACCATTCCATCCTATTTCAAATACTTTCATACGACATCTTGCCCTCGTGGGTGGATTAAATTCAGGGGAAATTCCCACAATGGAAACTGTGGATTTTTATTTGTTTAAGTGGTCATTTTCTAGCATCTATTATTTTACAGTTTCTAAAACAAATCATGTGTCACTGATCTTTTTCTAGAGGCTGTACTCATCTGAACTATTTTGTATTTCAAATACCTGAGGAATACATAAGGGAAAGTGGCTGTTTGTTTTCTTTCCCTCAATTCCGCTTACCTGTGCCATTAATTTTAATTTCAAAGAAAAGTAGTTTCTCACTTTGTTTGTCAATTCTGAGAGTGGACTTTAATAAATCGGCTTCTGGCTTATTTGCACTGGTTAGAAGATGCTTAAAGTGGAGACCCTGTCACATTATCTTAGGCCTCTAGCAAAGAACCTGCTAGTTTGATGCCTAACAATGTTCATTCTGAGCTGATGCTAAGATACTAAATATTTCTATGAAGAACAAAACTCAGAAAGGTAGCACCAGCAATAAAAATAGCTTTCCATGGACTGCAAAAACTTCAGGGAGCAGTTGATAAGCAGCATCAAATCCGAGAGCAGTAGCAGGGAGAAATCATGCGAAAGGAGGAGGCCAAGGCCCAAGTTGGAGAGACAGCAGGATTTATTTGATTACCTTAGCATTTCCAAGTTTCAGTTAATTTTGTACCACCTTCACAATTTTTACATTATGCTCATATTATCTAGATTATTATTTACTTATATTTTAAAATAAACATTTATTTTTAAGAGGAAATGTTTTAATCAAAATAAAAATTGAAACCCATACTACATATTGTAAATCAAAAGGATATGTAAAAATTATTAAAAGGAGGGAACACAATGAAAACCATATCCTGCCGGGTGCAGAGGCTCACGCCTGTAATCCCAACACTTTGGGAGTCCAAGGTGGGTGGATCACTTGAGCCCAGGAGTTTGGAACCAGCCTGGGCAAACCCTATCTCTACAAAAAATATAAAAATTAGCAGGATACGGTGGTGTGTGTCTGTAGCCCCAGCTACCTGGGAGACTGAGGTGGGAGGATCACCTGAGTCCAGGAGGTTGAGGCTGCAGTGGGCTGTGATCGAGCCATTGGACTCACGCCTGGGTGACAGCGCAAGACCCTGTCTCAAACTGCAAAAACAACAAACCATTTTCTGTTGCCTGTCATAGAGCCTGAGGCCTATCTTCTGTTATAAAAAGGAAAAAAAATTTCAAGAAACATTGAAGACATGCTAGCACCGTCTACAGTCTTCTCCTTTATTTAATCAAAAAAGATGCAAAGCCTGGGCGCGGTGGCTCATGCCTGTTATCCCAGCACTTTGGGAGGCTGAGGTGGGTGGATCACCTGAGGTCAGGAGTTTGAGACCAGCCTGGCCAATATGGTGAAACCACGTCTCCACTAAAAATACAAAAATATGCTAGGCATGGTGGCGCATGCCTGTAATCCCAGCTACTTGGGAGGCTGAGGCTGGAGAATCTCTAGAACCCGGGAAGTGGAGGTTGCAGTGAGCCGAGATCACACCACTGCACTCCAGCCTGGGCAACAGAGCCAGACTCCATTTCAGGAAAAAAAAAAAAAAAAAGATGCAGAAAGGAAATAAACTTGTCATTTGTCATGTGCAATATAGAATTGTTTTTAGTACCAGCAGTGTCAACAGATGAATGTGAAATGATTCACAGAGGTTAGCGTGACTCTGTGCGTCTGAGTGCCTGCTTTTTAGTGATCATCATTTGAAAGATATTGCTCTGTGCCTCCTGTATTGAAATGATTTTGTTCTTTCTATTTGAAGCTCTTTTAAGAGCCTGTGCCGATGGAGGTGCCAACCGCTTATATGATATCACCGAAGGAGAGAGAGAAAGGTATGCTTTCTTTTAGTCAATGTGCATAGTACCATGAATTTCTGCTCTTCTGTTGTTTTATTTTCTTCTTGTAAGTGGACATTGTTAATTCTCCTTCAGACTCTTTTATAGAAAATCTCCTCAGTGAGGGAAGAGTAACCTGAGCTGCTTAACCATGTTGTATTATTTCTTGCTTTGAATGGTATCTCTTAGTAGAATGAGGCCCATCTATTCTTATTTTAAAAACCTTCATTCTGCTACTTCAAAGCCACATTAAGTAGCATTATCAGATCTTGATACTTGTGAGAACTGTGAAAGTCAGCTTAAATAAAACTTCAAATTGCAATTTGAGATGTTATTCAAACAGTGTAAATGAATGAAAACTGATTTTATATAAAGTAGATGTATATTCCCTCATAGAAAATATGAGATTTTATATTAGTGTTGAGTAAAGCCCAGTATAATTTAACTTAATTATTTCTCAGTTATGCATACACTTATATGTTAAGAGATAAAGAGTTTCCTTAAGATTTACTATCCCTGCTGTCTGATTTGTCTTATCTGTATGCGGTAAGGTATTTTTAGATACGACAGTATGTTTGATGGAAGTAGATTTTAAACCTAGCTCATTGTGAACATGTTTGTAGTCCAAACACCTTGGCAAACACAAGAATTTATAGTGAACATATAAGTAGACTAACTATGAAACATAGTTTCATCTCTATCATATGTGTTATTATATTGAAATGTTTATAGTTTAAGAAATTACCTTCTTGGTGCAAAAAATAAAAACATTATGATGTAACACACTCTAGGTACAAATTAAATATATGTATTTTGAAATAATATATTTTTCTTTATGGGATGAAAAATTCTAACACTGGAGCTGCTTTTTGAAAGCAGCCGGTTTCTTATAGGAGGAAGGCATGTTTCCTTCGAGACTGGACGTGCTAATGCTAATATCTGGGGACTAGATGCATTATCAAAAAGTATAGCAAGAGTGACAGCCAAGAAGACAGTTTAAATTCTTAACATTTTTTGCTCCTTCATTTTGTAACTTTACAGATTCCTCTGACAGTATCCTCCAAGACCTGACATGGACAATGTGTGAAAAAGCGCTCAAGTATGTGTTGTAAAAAAAGGGTCTAGGCCAGTTACTTCAGATAAGAGCATAATGCCCATGAGGCCAAGCTTATGTATTGGGCCTGTAGCCTGCTTGCTGGCAAATAATCTGGTGCCAAGTATTCTCTCATGGCAGGTGTAGCTTGTGAACGTAATTGTAACCACAACTGTGAAAGGATCTCAACACTGTGCCTTCCAAGTGATCTTTGATCATAAGATCTGTCGATAATGCTTGTGAAGAAATATAGACTCTCATATTGATTATTTTTACTGAATTGGAGTGGACACTAATAAAGATAACAGAGCACTTTAAAAAATGATTTCAACTTTTATTTTAGATTCAGGGCATATATATATATATATATATATATATATATATATATATATATATATATATATATATATGTAGTTTTGTTACATGTGTATATTGTGTGATGCTGAAGTTTGGGATATGAATGATCCCGTTACCCAGGTAGTGAGTGTAATATCCAGTAGTTACTTTTTCAACCCCTAACCCCCTCCCTCCCCATTCTCATAGTTACCAGTGTCTATTGTTGCCATCATTATGTACATGAGTACTCAGTGTTTAGCTCCCACTTATAAGTGAGAACATGCAGTATTTGGATTCCTGTTACTGCATTAATTCACTTAGGATAATGGCTTCCAGCTGCATCCATGTTGCTACAAAGCAGATGATTTCAAACAGAACACTTTTATTCATATTTGAAAGCAAAACAGATTACCAGATTTAGGGGGTGAGTACCATTATTTTTGGCCCAAATTTCAAAATAACCACGTGTGATGTTTCTCAACACATTTATAAGTAATCTTATAGAAGTCTTCCAAGAAAATTTATATAATTTAACAACTGTTTGTTCATGTATGAAGATGTTCAATAAAACATTGTACTTTTCATTGATTTTGTAATTGTAATTATGTGTTTGCAATGATTCCTACTCTGATGCCCGGGGACATCGCTGGCCTGGGTGAGGGTAGAATCTCTAATAGGAAGATGAGTGAAACTAACTGTCTCATGTGGGAATTAAGTCCTTGAATCAACCTCTAAATACAAACCCTAACCAGTCAAACTAGTTGGATTCAGGTGACTAAGCATAATTCCTCTTAATTGTATTTCTAATAGAAAGGCATCACAATAAAAAACGAAAAAATATGCATGAGTTTTAAAAAGCCAGTATGTATTTTGTGGACCACTACTTGCCCTGTTCTTATTTATTTACTTAACATCCATATGTACAATGCAATGCCTCATAATTATGTGATAAAACATGAATTTTTAAAGAATCATCTTCAGTTGAAGACAAAATATTTGTACATTTTGAATGGAAGGAAGGAAGACATATAGACAGTAGCAGAGGAACAAAGTTTACAGAGGAGTGGAGCTGAAGGAAAAATCAGTCATGGGACCTTCTCTCCTCTGCTCAGGCTGAGGAGTGGCAGGGCGTGAGGCCCCAGGCCCCGTGTCACTCTGCTTCTGGATACTGCTGGACATTGAGGTCCATCTCTGTCCCTCATGGAGCTAGGGCCCTAGGAGAGCCTGAAGAGGACCCAGGTGTGCTCCAGGCCCCTGCCTGGGCCTGCTGGCCCCTTTACTCTTTCATGGACCCAGAGGGAAAGGGAAGGTTAAAGTGTGGCAGGTGAGGCTGTTGGGACCCATGGGGAGATGTGTGTAGTAAAAAGAAGACTCAGAAAAGGGTATTGGATTTGGCCATAATCAGCAAGTAGAAACATAGTGCCCATTTATCCTGCAGCCCAGAAAGTCCAAGATTAGACAACGGAAGCATAGTTTATGAAGTAGAGGTGATTAATGTTCTTCTGTTACCTGCTTTCAGAGTACTGAATTAGTGCTCCCAAACTCTTGGCTTATACATATTAGATAGGTTTCATTTTATTACAGATATGCAGATATCATTGTTTTCAGTGTTCAAATTGTCTCATCTTTGGCCAATATAAACTTCTTTAAGTTAGATCCTATGTTCTTTTTAAAAAGTTACCTTTGTATACATATATAAAGGTTATATATATGTATACACACATATATATAAATATAAATCATGTGTATTATATAAATCACATATATAAATTATATATATGTAATTTTTAGGCATAGTTAATGTACAATAAAATGCATATCATAGATGTTTAATTACATGGGTTTTGTTAGACATTTATTTACAGCCTCTTATCTACCATCCAAAACGAGAGAGAACATTTCTCTAGCCCCAGAAAATTCCCTCATGATTGATAATCTAGTTTTTTACCCCCAGTCAACTACTTTCTGATTTCCGTTACTATAGAACTTAAAAAAATCTATTACTGAATTTCGAGCAAAATAAATCATATAGTATGTATTCTTTTGTGTCTTTTTTCTTTTGCTCACATGTTTTTGCAATTCATTTATGTATTGGTAGTTCTTTTTTATTGCTCAGTAGTATTTTATTGTATGAATATACCACAATTACATTTGTTTATTCACCAGATGTACATTTGGTTGTTTCCAGTTTTTGGCTATTATGTGTAAATGCCACTTCTTATACAAGGGTTTCTGTGAACATGTTTTAATTTGGGGAAGCAGGTACAAAGAATGAAGTTTCTGGGTAACAGGGTAAATATATATTTAACTTTCTAGAAATTGGCATTTCACTTTTCCAAAGTTGTTATACCATTTTATATTTCCATGAGTAATGTCTGTATTGCTCCATATCCTCACCAATATTTGTTCTTTTTTATCTTTTTGATTTTAGCCATTTAGTGTTTGTGAATGGAATTTGTGATTTTAATTTAAATTTTTCTGATAACTAAGGATGTTGAGCATCTTTTCATGTATTTATTGACCATTGGTATTTCATGACTTGATATATAATAGCTTGTAACACAATTCTTATTTGTTACTTTTATTAATTAAAAAAACAGCTGTGAGCTTAGGTCCAGTTCTATACTAGATGTGTGAAATGCTTGCACACCATCTTTATTAAAATTGTTTTAAAATTGTGGTAACAAAACTTAACATGAGATCTACCTCTTAACAAATTTTCGTGTATAATACATATTGTTGACTACAGATACAGTGTTATACATTAGATCTCCAGAACTTACTCATCTTGCTTAACTGAAAATTTATTCTCATTGATTAGTAACTCCTCATTTCTCACTCTCCTCCACCCCTGGCAACCCCATTCTACAGTTTGATTCTATGAATTTGACTATTTTAGATACCTCAGATGAGATAATCTTGCAGCATTTGTCTGTCTGTGACTGGCTTATTTTATGTAGCATAATGTCCTCAAGGCCATTCCATCTTTCATAAACGTCTGTCTCTGTTTCAACTATGAAAGTAGCCTCTCTTCATTTATCAGGTTTTGTTTTGATAAACAAGCCCTAAATATTTTTTCTTATCGTGAATTGCAGTGTATCTGTTAATATCTATTGGTTCTGACCTGTGGGACAGTAGGACATATGATTAATTTTTCTGTAGTTACTTGTTAAGTGGATGCAAGCTCAGTAAACATAAGCTCCCTGGTGCCATTCAGTATGACAGATTATATGACATAAAGAGAAAATTCTAGTTCAGTGTGATAGATTCTGTAACAAAGGAAGACATGGAGCAAGGACAGTTATATCAGAGTGAAGGTATTAAAAAATATTCTGAGGATCCTAATGGGCTGTAAAAGATTAGGACCATAGAGCATGTGAGGTATACATATGTGTGTGCATTTGTAGCGACTGGGGAGAGGCAGGGAGATTCTCCTTTGTCTCCTGGATGAAATCTCAATTAACTACCTTGAGATGCAGGGTTATCTTTTTAGGCATGCCCAATTTCTTCCCTTGTATTCTGGTCAAGCAGAACTGCTCACTGTCCTAAATTTGCCACGCGCTTTCTCCCCTCTGACTTTCCTCAGGCCCTTTCTCATGGCTGATCTGGTACACATTAGCCCCACCCATAGTCCATTACAATTGTGCAGCCATTCGAAATAATCAGTGATGGTAGATCCTAGGCTGTACTCATTCTTAGATGGTTTCAGCAGCATGTGCCAGCATGTTTTGTAACAGTCGTATCCGTGCATCAGTGTTCAACTAACACACCATGTACTCCAGGAGGGCTCCTCTTCCCTTCCAGCCTGAAGTGATTTGGCATTTCCTACACTGTAATAATACTCTTAAATCACAATGTTACATTCACATTTTACCTTGATTTAAAGCTGTAAAGACTTATATTCTGTACTAGGTTGTAAATTTCTAGTGATCTATTGCCCTTTAACTTTGCATAATACTTTGTAATTATTTACTTTCTTATTTTATCTTGTGATTTAGCTACGGGTAGATGTATCTTCTTCACTAGGTGGTAAACTCCTGGAAGGCAGCAATCATAATTAATCATCTTTATATGCTTCATATCTACTACACTAATGAGCATTTGAGAATTTATTGAATTTGTGATTTTTCCTTGATATGTTAGCAGAGATGTAAAACTGAGTTTTGTTAAGTCAAGGATTTATAAGATACAACACCAGCTATTGGAAGTATCTTGTTGTTAAAGAAACTTTCGATAATTATATATCTTATTAGTATTATAAGCCAGAAATGGCTTATGTCTAAAAAGATTGTGCATTTTTGTCCAAAGTCATGTATAGTATATATCCCACTTATTTCCAGAATATCTTATGTTACGTTGCATTCTAATTCCTGTCTAAATGAATCTTTTGTCCTGGAACTAAGGTCCTGGCTTTTGAATTCATTGGTATTTTGAGAGCAATATGTACCATGAATATCAGTGCTAAATGTGAGGTTTTTTTTTTATTTGTGATTTTGTGGTACTTAGAGATTCTCAGGCTCATCAGCATAACAGTCTAAGAAGTTGCTATATCTTTAATATTGTGTGTAGGATATCTGAAATGTGGGGAGGGGTGTTTTTAGGTTAGTTTTCTCAGAGTAATTAATGAATATAGAATCCTGAATGGAAAGGTCTACAGGAGAGTATCTTTATATAAACATTGTTCAAAGTTAGCTCAACTGTTTAGGAGTTTTCTTTCTCTTTAAATATGAGCACCTAACAAAAATTCCTAGCACTCATGGAAATGACGACATAATTAAACACTCATTACCAATGGCAGGATGACGAGGGCCTATTTAAACCGAAAAGCAAAATACGTTCTTGATCTCTTTTTCCTCTCACTTCATTAATTTTCTCACAGTTAAAATTTCGGTCTTTGAGCTTTATATAATCATGCAACTTACTCATCAGATCAATCTACTTTTTAGATTAATCAAGTGTGAAGAGGATGACTGTTGTAACTCTAACTCTACAACTATTTGTGCCCCAGCTAAATGAAGTTCAAAATATAATTAAAATAACTGAATAATGTGGGAGGAGAGCTCTTAAGAATTAGCTTCTAGGCTGGGTGTGGTGGCTCACACCTGTAATCCCAGCTCTTTGGGAGGCTGAGGCGGGCGGATCACGAGGTCGGGAGATCAAGACCATGCTGGCTAACACGGTGAAACCCCGTCTCCACTAAAAATACAAAAACTTAGCTGGGCATGGTGGTGGGCGCCTGTAGTCCCAGCTACTTGGGAGGCTGAGGCAGGAGAATGGCGTGAACCTGGGAGGCGGAGCTTGCAGTGAGCCGAGATCGTGCCACTGCACTCCAGCCTGGGTGACGGAACGAGACTCCGTCTCAAAAAAAAAAAAAAAAAAAAAAAAAAAAAGAATTAGCTTCTAAAGCCTTTATCAATACAATTAACCCAGGCATCTGGTAGTAGCAAGTGTCTGATTACTCTTGAAGGAATCAGTGAATCAGTGACAGTCTAAGTCTGGCTACCTGTGAGTAACTTTGAACAATTTTGTTTTATTTCATTGCAGGTAGCAGCACCCTCCAGAAGGGACATTATGTAGTCAGAGAGTTAGATTAAGGTTCAAAATCGGGTTCTGCCACTTCATTACTTTTAGCAAGTAATTTAACTTTTTGGGCTGTAGTTTCTTCATCTGTGACGTTTCAGGAAGAGATCACTTTCTTTTGGAGTATTCAGAGAAATCTTGATGAGGTAACATTACTGTGGCTGATTACAGAAGATCTGGATAAATCAAGAGGATGGAGCATGGCTCTTAAAAGCTATAATGATAAATTATTGAATAGTTCAGCATGTACCTGATGTAGTTTTAGGCCATAGCTGTAAATATTTTTGTCATGGTTAACTATTCTGAATGTAATAATTGTATTACTTTTCAGAAACGTTGTAAGCATTTTTCAGATAGTGGTTGGCATATAGGAAGGTAGTGTTTGGCATCTGATTTCTTTTGTTTTAAATCCACTTTGTTTAGCTATAATTTCATACAACAAAATTCATCCACTTTAAACATACAGTTCAATTATTTTTGAAGCGTTATATAGTTGTGTACCCACCACCACAGTCGAGATTAAAACACGTCCATCATCCCAGAAAGTTCCTACCTCCCGCTTTGCAGTCATTCGCCTCCTCCCACACCGTGTCCCCTGTAGACTTCTAGAATGTCATACAAATGAAATCACACAATTTGTTGTCTTTTCTGTTATTTTTCACTTATCAAATGCTTTTGAGATTCATCCGTGTTATTTTATTCATCCATGTATTTTATGTATTTATTATGTTATTTTATGTAGTTTGTTCCTTTTTGCTGTCGAGTAGTGTTCCAGTATATGCGTATACCACAATTTTCTTTCTTTATTTTACACAGTTGATGAACCTGATTTCTAAAAGTTGCCTTTTTGTTGAAATTTGTTATCATTTTTTTATGTGCTTCTTTGGAATACATGTTCTTTTAGTTGGAACAAAGCAAAATTCTCAGTGTTTTCAACTCAATCCTAGACATTATATAAAATAGTAGTAAAGACTTATATGTAAGGTCTATATTTGCTATATCTTAGTAAAAAGTATATAAAAGCTTGTTCAATTCTGTTTTTAAAGGAGCAAGACAATAAACATGAAATCAGTGTGAAGTAAGTTGGTGTCAAGTATCTGAGCATAAGTTGTGATCTTGATAACCTCCAATATATGTGGCAGTTGATTTCAGTCTCTCTATGACTAATTTTCTCATTGATTGTGTTTTTTTTTTTTTTTACTGCTTTTCAAGCCTCTCATGGAATAGTCAAAACATGTAATTTCTATATGCTTTAACATATGCAGAAAGGAAACAAATATGAACCAAAGATCTTTGGTTCAGTTGATTCTTATAAGCCTAGCCTTAGCAATGATTAGTCATTTGCTTCAGTAAATTTCCATTAAAAAGTATTTATGCAATCAAATTACCAAGCTGTGTAAGCATGTCAACATTATTAGGTCTTTGAATCAAAATGATGAAAGGTAAAAATGATTAGTGCATTTAAAATATAATTTACAACAGAAGTCTTGGTATTAAAGAACCTTACACAACAAACCGTGAAGGCATATTTATCTTAAATTATTGATTAGATTAGTTTAGTAATATATTTTAGTCTGTTCGTTATCAAATGCTATAAATCAGAGGTCTCAAAATTATCCATGCATAGCTATGAATCATTTTGGAGTGTTAGAGGAGGGAGGAATGTGTATGCGAAGGTGCTATGTTTCTCAGATCATGCATGAACCCAAAATAAATTTTCAGAGCGAGACCATTTTAAGCAGCTGCAGGAAGTCAGTTTACAACTAAATTTAATCAGAGGCATTGTTTTTTATGGCTATTCTATTTCATAAAGTATGTTCCTGACAGAACCCTTTTCCCTTCCTGCACTGTGGATGGAGTCTTCAGAAATAAATTATCTTCCAGTAATATTTTAGAGAATGCTAGATCATTTGTCAAAAGTTTTGAGTAACGTGGCTTTTTACATTTTACTTTTTTTAAAAAAAATGTTGAATTGTTTTAGTGATTGTTAATATAAGAGCTCATGTTTTCTTGTCATGTTTTAAACTTATTTTTAATAGATTTTTAGATCAATGAGTTAAGAAGTGATGGTTGAAAGTAATCACATAATACCACACCAACAAAATTGTTTCTTAAAAAGTTGTGGAATTGTCCCTGTCTGGTTTTTCATACACACTTATGTGATCGCACATACAGGTCTTCTTGCAAATACACCCTCGGATTCTTCCTGCCTGGTTTTCTTGTTATTAAGAGTTGGGATTTGTATTATTTGGCCAAGAGCAAACAGAATAACTCCAACACTAGGCAAGATGACTTATATTATTTGTTGACACGTCACTATAGGGCAGGACATTTTAGTTGATGATAGGATTGCAACTGAGCTATCCACGGTCTTCCAATTGTTGGGGAACAGAAGTGACAGCTGGAATTCAATTTAAGCAAGGGCTAGTGAGTAAATTTTATGGGAAAATATCCAAATGGCAATTACACAAAGATGAGCACTGAACTATCACTTACAATGTGGGGTTAGGAATCTGAGAGTTGTTTGAGGTGTATTCCTTAAAGACTTCAGTTTTGCTGCTGTAGCCAGCAAGGTCAAGAATATGCTGAAGAATCTCAGAGAGGGCATTTAAAATACAACAGAAGATATTACACCACACTAAGAAAAAAGTCATTGTGTGTGTGTACATTATATGCAATATACTTAACTACACTATAGTTAACTCTGGCTTTGGAAGTAGAAGAGAGCTAGAGAAAGTCAGAGGAAGGGAATAAGAGTGCATTTAGTGTATCAATGACTAGACTAAAAGGAACTAAAATAAAAAATCGTAAATATTAAAAACGCTGACTCCTCTAAATCCTGTGATTTTGAATTGCAAGGAGCACTTTTGTTGAATGAGACTAACAATGCTTCTCCTTAGACTACAGGGAAGATGGTGTTGTCCCTCTCTACAGGGCTTAGACCAGGGAACACTTTCTTTTCACCTTGGATGTCAGGTTCCATCTGTTTCTGCTGGGTGTCATGTAGGGGTGCTGACACCTGGGTGTGATACCCAGGGCTAGAGGAGCCATGTGGGGAGAAGATGTGTATGCATTAACACTGTTTAAAAGATTATTTAAAATCTTGGTGCCATCTAAATGTTGAAAAAAGCCTATTATTTTCAAGCCATCGGAGTGCCCTTGGAAATATCAAGGAGCAGGTTTTAGGTACAACTGGAGTTTTTTGTTTGTTTGTTTGTTTTTTACAGAACACTATGTAATTCATTTCTAAAAGCCTCCTGCTTTCTTCCATGTGTTATGCATCATTATCTTTCAAAACTCAGCCCATGTGTTGTGTCTCCCCAGAAATCTTAGTTTTCACAGACCCAAGTTAGGAATGAATTCTCTAAGCAGTCCTTCACTGTAATGTCACATGATGTTGAAATTATCCATGGGTGTTTCTATTTAATTGGGAAAAATTCCCTGTTCTTGTTTTACTCATCTTTGGAAATAATCCTAGCAGCTAGGATCAGGTTTGATAACTAATAGATGATAAGTAAATATTTTTAACTAATCAGCGTTACTCCTTTTAGACAATTCATACTGAAAATAATTTCCCCACATATTCAATTAAGCAAGTAAGTGACAAATCCTAAATAAACTAAGGGTGTTTCGTGGCTAGATTTCTTACCTTACCAGGTTATATTACATTATTATTCTGCATCTCTCTTACGTAATTTGTCCTTGAAGTTCTCTTATCCAGCACTTCTATTATCAAACATTTATCACAACGTATTAGAATCACCTATTTGCAAATTCCCACCAGCCTGTAACCTCAGTGAAAGCATACATTTCTCTAGCATTTTTACTGTCTTATCCCCAGCAATTAGTTCTTAACTATGTGCTTAAGAGTTACTAAAGAATGATTAGAAATACTCATCAAAACTTCATATAGCCTACTGTCACAGATTGCAGTATGAATGTGTGTTTCCGACCCAAAAAGGTAATTCTTAAGATTATTTTTATTTAAGAGGAGAATCAGAGACCTATACCAAAATCTCTTCTGTTAACAATATTGGGACTTATTTAACTTTTTGTATTTGTGTGGGTTTTTAGTTGTACAGAACAAGAACTCTGGCCAACGTAAACAAAAATCAAACATGATATAATTAATAGAGAAAGTGGGAAGGCTGGGGGAATATGCAGGAATTGGGAGGCTTGGGAAACATTTAGGAATCAAGGGAAGCTGGAAGCCAGATCCACAGCTATGCTTGCACTCTAAGAACAAGTTAGGACTTGCACTTAGCCACCTGTGAGCCGGCCACTGGGTGTACTACAGGTGAATTCCTGTGTCTCTTTTCTAGTGTAATATGGTGTTCAACTGAGTTGAGGTGGTTCTGAGAGAATATCTGCCCATGTCCTTGTTTCTATTGGTTGTGTTTGTTTCTGGAGTGGGATTTGCCTCCGGTCAAGACTGAGACCATGCTAGTTTCTGCACGCCTAAGTGGGACCAGCCAACTATAAATACAAACAAAAAAAAAAACAAAAAGAATCCTCATGCGTATACATCAACAGCATCTTTTCTCTGCTGCCTGTGCTGTCTTCTTGCCCTAGGATAGTCTAATGGTCTTTATTAATCTCCTCCTTACTTCTGCCTCCCCACACACGTCCCTAACTTACTGGGGTATAAAATGCCCCTGGTTGGGAACTGTTTTTATTCCTCACTATGTAATGACAGTGAAAGGGAATGAAATGGTCATCTGTCATGCAAATAAGTGACAAAAATGCCTCTTGTGTATTCTGAGAAATTTAATAACGTTCTTTGCAAATTTAAAAAAGTATGTAGGAAGTATAATTCCTCTTTAGTTTTATAAAATTTTTTTTAATCAAAAGATTCTTGTTTTCTGAATTCATGTTACATTTGTTTCCAAGTAAACTTTAAAATTTTACTCTTATGATTCATAAATTTCCAGGGAGAGGGTTGTAAATTTTTTTTAGATATCTTTTGCATTTAAAAATATTTCCCCCCTCTTAATGAAATATTACCAAGACAAGCTTATATTTTACAACATAGAGCTTTCTTTAGTTGGTTTGGGTCTTTGTGACAACAAAGTGAGAGAATAACATTATTTTTCTAATTTGTAATATCTAAAAAGGTTTTATTACTTAAAGGTAAGGCTTTAATTTAAATATACAATAATAATAAGTTTTTACAAAATTTCCCAATATGAAAATTTCCCAGATTTAGTTCTTTTGTTAAAAAATATTTAAGGCGAGAAATAATTAAGAAAAAAATTGCTTTGTGGCTTCCAGCACAGTAGTTAAAAGGGCAGCTGAAGCTTAGGAGCTTAGTATGCAGTTTTCTTTGTAGAACTAGCAGCATTTTTTTTCCACTTCATGCAAAATTCACTTATTTATCACTAGCGGCCTCTAGTGTATATTCAATTTTTTTTTCTGCTCGACTATACATTAGTTGGTTATTAGTAACTGGAGAGCTGTTCCATGTGTTAGGAACAAGAAAAACAACTCCAGTTTGTGTCATCTTGGCATTTTATCAGTCAGTAAAAAGAACATTTTTGCATAATAGTGTGGTCTTATGATTCCTATTAGCAGTAATAGGGCTTTCCCAGCGACTTTTCTCCATGTGGCAGTTGCTTGCCAAAGCTTAATTCTGATGTGGGAGGAGAGAGTTAGTGATTATGCATTACACTGATGCCCTCTAATGCTTTTAATAGGATGCAATCAAGTAAGAATACAGGAGGCAAGGATTATCAAAGTGAGATTTTAGCCAAATTGTGTGACAGAAATCTGAACTGAACTTATTTATTTTAATTGAGCTTATTTGTTCAATTTTAAATAAAACCGTATTCAAGTAATTTTTGATGCAGTCATAATTACAAAATATATAAAGATAAATTAAACACCTCGAATTTGTATCATTTAGTATTTACCTTTCTTTTAAACTTTATATATTTTAAAAGGCAAATTCTCTGCTATCGCCTCTAACTTTTCCCCCACCTATGGACATAGGATTATTATAATGAATTTGGGGAATAGAGGAAGACATAAAGAAAAAAGTTAAAATAACCTAAAATCCCACTTCTATAGATAACGTCTGTTAATATTTTTACATATATAATTTTTTTCAATTTTACATTTTTGTATGTTTATTGCTCTGTGTATGTATGTGTGTACATGTAATGAAATACAGATTTTTATCTATATATTGCTTTATATCATGCCTGTTTTTAACATTATATTATGAACATGCTACCAAGTCATTATATATAAATTTTGTTACATTTTTATCTCTCAACCATTCTCCATATATCAGAAAGTTATGTAGCTCATAAGTTGTGTGTTTTTTTTTTTTTTGAGACAGAGTCTCACTTTGTCACCCAGGCTGGAGTGCAGTGGCGCAATCTTGGCTCACTACAACCTCTGCCTCCCGGGTTCAAATGATTCTCCTGCCTCAGCCTCCTAAGTAGCTGGGACTATAGACGTGCGCCACCACGCCCGGCTAATTTTTGTATTTTTAGTAGAGACGGGGTTTCGCCAGGCTGGTCTCAAACTCCTGACCTTAGGTGATCCACCCACTTTGGCCTCCCAAAGTGCTGGGATTACAGGCGTAAGCCACTGCGCCCAGACAGCTTATAAGTTTTTTATAAGTAAATCTTTGGTAAATAAAACTTTGTTAAGTATTATAAAAACATTAAGTAGTATTATAAGTGTATGAGTTTGTGACACTTACAGTAGTTTCACAGACGTTAAGACATGCTCCAGAAGTTATAAATTTTAAAAAATGTATTTAAGTCTAAGTTGACAACTTGCTTTCCAGAATATTGTTGCTTAAGTTAACCTTCATCAACAGTATAAGACAATTTACATTTCTCTCTGCTCTTGCCAGATTTATTAACTTAAGTTTTTTTGATATATTATGTAGGAAATCATATTCCATTATTATTTTAGCATATTTTAATTATGGAGTCATTCTATATAACAGGCATTATTGTAGTCACCTATGATGCAGCGGAGAGCAAAATACTTGACTTCATTGACCTCCCATAGAGGAAATAAGCAAGACAAATAATTAAAATATTAAGTATATTACTAGTGAGAAGGAGAATAATAACGCAGGAGAAGAGGTAGCATGCTTTGCAGTAGGTTGTTAGCAGTTAAAGTGAGGGAGAGCCTCACTGAGCAGGTGACTTCTGAGTTAAGACCTGCAGGGGGTGGAGAAGCAAGCCATTTGCTCAGCCAAAGGAAGAACCTTCCAGGAAGTGGGGATGCTTGTGCAGAGGCCCTGAGACATGAGAATGATATCAGTTAGCTTTTGCTGTATCATAAGCTACCCCCAAAATTAATGGCTTTAAACACTGATTTATTTATTTACTCACAAGTCTAAGGTCAGCTAGGCAGATCTTGTGGGCTCATTCATGTGCCAGTTACGTGGGTTGGTAAAGGAAAACTGTTCCTGTACTCACAACACTTCTGCCACTAAACATCTGGGTTTTATACATCAAACAATTTGCCAGTTGTCTGTGGCCACCAACTGGGTGTCCGACAATTTAATTCAATCTGACATTATTCAGAGTAAGCACAGACCACCACCCTCCAACACACACACAGGTAAAGGACTTAGTCCTACTAGATTGCCATGCACTTTAAATGCCAGTTGCAACTAGTGGGTCCCCAGAACTCCCTCCTCGTGTTTGGTAATTTGCTATAATGGCTCACAGAACTCAGGGAAACACTTATGTTTACAATTTATTATAAAAGGATGTTATAAAGGATGAATGTGAACAGCCAGCTGATGTGGTACAGAGGGTGGGATCTGGAGAAGTCCTAAGGCAGGAGCTTCTGTCCCCCTTGGCTTTGGGATACACTACCCTCCCGGCATGTGGATATGTTCCCCAACCTGAAAGCTCTCTGAACCACATTGTTTAGGGTTTTTAAATGGGGGTTCTGTTACATGGGCATGATTGATTACATCATTGGCCATCGGTGATTAGCATAATCTGTAGCTCCACTGGGAGTGGTGGGTATGAACGTTCCACACTCTGATCATGCCTTTGTCTTTCTTGGGTATCAGCCTCCAACTTGAAACTCTCCTCGAGGCCCCCAGCCACCAGTCATCTCATCAGGACACCGAAAGACACCCATTACTGTGGAGCTTCCAAGGGTCTTGGCAACTCTTTTATCGGAAACGAGAGGTGAAGACCAAATGTATATTTCCTCTTATATCATGATATCACAGTTGGGTAGGCAGTTTTGTTGATGATGTCAGCATGTAGAAAGGACCCACATGTTTAGAGGTTGGATGTCTGTAAGCTGTACCTGACTCCAGTCTCATCCTCCATCCATCAGGCATGCTCAGAATTACTCTCATGGTAACAGGGGAGGGTTCCAAGAGAGCAAAGGGAAGGCTGCAGCTCCACTTGAAGCCTCTATTCCTAACTGCCATGCTGTCACTTCTACTGCATTTTTTAAGTGAAAGCAGGTTTCAAGGCTAATACAAATTATTGAGGTGGGGAAAGGGATGCATATTAATAGCTTGTGATGAAACAGTCTGGAAAGTCACATTATAAAGGGGTATAGATTGGGAGGAGGAAATAATTATGGATAATTGTGCAAACAATCTGCAAGTGGAGATAATGAGGGGAACTTACTAGGAAGGAGAGTGATCAGAAAGATAACAGGGTAGATCTTAAAGTTCCTTTGTAGATAGTATTGATGATTTACTATGAATGAGATGGGAAGTCACTGGAAGGTTTTCAGCAGAGGAATGCCATCAGCTGTTTTTTCAGGATTGTACCACGGAGGATGCAAAGAAAGAGCCAGATTGAGAATGTATTTTCCCCTATAGAACTGGCTGACAAATCAGTTACTAGGTGCAAGAAAGAAAAGTGAAGGATGACTCCAAGAAAAGTCAAGGATTTTGAACTAAACAACTAGAAAAGAATGATTTTTCCTTAGATTGGGGAGATTGTAAGAGTAGTGGTTACAGTGGGGGAAAGAGAAGAGATTCAGTGATTTAAGTTTGAGTTATTTATCCACCTCACATTGAGTAGGTTGTTGGATACAGAGTCATCAGTATATAGAAAGCCATATAAGGCCATGAGACAGTGAAAATAACCTAATGACTGCAGACAGTACAGATACTGAGCTGTGGAATACTCCAGTGTTAAAAATTCCGAGGGACAAAGCAGGAGTAACCCATGAGTTAGGGGACAACCAGGAAACTATGGTCATGGTCCTTAAATGATGAAAGAAAATCAAGGAATACAGAGTGATCATTTGTGTTATATATATCTGATGGGTAAAGTAACATAGGATAATTGACCATTAGATTTAGCAATATGGAAGTCTTTGGCATTGGAAAATATGTGTGTGTGTGTGTGTGTGTGTGTGTATGTGTGTGTGTATGATTAGAGATTATATATCTGCTATTTAAATTCCTTCCCTTTTGTGTCATGTCTTTTTTCTATTTCATTTTTCCTATATGATTTTATTTTCATTTTATAAGCTATTGGGATCAACTCTGTTTGAACAAGGATACTCACCCTTTGTCTTTTGTATTTCTTTTAAATGTTTTTCCTAATATTCTTTTTAATTTTAATAATAGTCATCTCATGATTTTATGATTTCTGGGTGGCCTGTACCCAAGCCATTATCATCTGGCTGCATTCTTTTGGATTCCTATAATGCAGAGATCAGTATTAAATACCGTAGAGAACCACCCATGCTTTAGTCTCTGTCTTTTAGGACAGTGACTCATACATCTATATAATGGATGGCAGCAGCAAGATAAAAACAGAAACTATCCAAGGTAGAAAATACAGTACTTACTTCACCAAGAAAGTGTATGCCATAAGAAATTTCTTTTTCGTGTGTTTGTGTCATTTTCTTAAGTAAGGTTTTAGTTCCTGCTGTGAGGGAAGCTGTATTGGAAAGGCAGAATCAAGATGAAAAACACTCTACTAGCAGAAACTGTAGCTAGGCAGCTTATTACTCTTTGCTTTGGAAAACTTGGGAGGATCAGACAACCTATTAGTGACCCTAATGGCATTAATCACTAGCTGTATTTATTGAATTCTGTGGATTATGTCTCAGCTGAATCACAGAGAGAAGCATAAAGCAAACAAATTACACAAAGTAATTCACTATCATTGAGCTAGCTTTTTATATTTGTTAAGGTGAAGAATTGGCATTAACCTATAAATATACTTTGGGACTCTTTCATGTTTGTAAATCAGAAAAGATGAAACCTTCCACTCTGGACTACATAGGGGTTAGCATGAGTCTTCTAAATGTATATATCGCATTTTCTGGCACTACCTTACCCTACTGCCGCTACCACGTTCTTCTAGGAAAATAACTCCGTAGGTTAGTTTCTATTAAAATAACCTTTCATTCTTCTCACCCCTTCTGGCCTCTTTCGGAAAACAAATAATTACAACAAATGACTGAAGAGGAAGTGACCTGATGTTCAGAGCCAGAGGAAATGTTTACTTGTACAACTTTTATTGAATACGTTAATATTATACAAAGCTCTATTTTGGGGCTAAGAGATCCTGCAAAGTCACTCATTCTTTAAAAATTGTAGCATGGCTAGCCACATGTAAATACAAGTGATTGAATGAGAAGTCAGCTATGTCTTAGTCTGATTGGGCTGTTATTTTTTTTTTCTTCAACTTTTATTTTAAGTTCAGGGATTCATGTGCAGGATGTGCAGGTTTGTTATATAGGTAAACGTGTGCCATGGTGGTTTGCTGCACAGATCATCCCATCACCTAGGTATTAAGCCCAGCATCCATTAGCTATTCTTCCTGATGCTCTCCCTCCCCTCCCCTCAACAACAGGCTCCAGTGTGTGTTGTTCCCTACCATGTGTCCATATGTTCTCATCACTCAGCTCCCACTTAAAAGTGAGAGTGTGCGGTGTTTGATTTTCTGTTCCTGTGTTAGTTTGCTGAGGATAATGGTTTCCAACCCCATCCATGTCCCTGCAAAGGACATGAGGACATGGTCTCGTTCCTTTTTATGGCTGCATAGTATTCCATGGTGTATATGTACCACATTTTCTTTATCCAGTCTATCATTGATGGGCATTTAGGTTGATTCCATGTCTTTGCTATTGTAAATAGTGCTGCAGTGAACATATGTGTGCATGTATCTTTATAATAGAACCATTTATATGTCTTTGGATATATACCTAATAATGGAATTGCTAGGTCAAATGGTATTTCTTCCTCTAGGTCTTTGAAGTATGGCCACACTGTCTTCCACAATGGTTGAACTAATTTACACACCCACCAACAGTGCATTCCTTTTTCTCCTTGACCTCATGAGCATCTGTTGTTTTTTCACTTTTTAGTAATAGCCATTCTGACTGGCACGAGATGGTAAGATGGTATCTCTGTGGTTTTGATTTGCATTTCTCTAATGACCAGTGATGTTGAGCTCTTTTTCATTTGTTGGCCATATGTATGTCTTGTTTTGAGAAGTGTCTGTTGATGTACTTTGCCCCCTTTTTTTTTTTTTTTTTTTTTTTTTTTTTTTGAGACGGAGTCTCGCTCTGTCGCCCAGGCTGGAGTGCAGTGGCGGGATCTCGGCTCACTGCAAGCTCCGCCTCCCGGGTTCACGCCATTCTCCTGCCTCAGCCTCCCAAGTAGCTGGGACTACAGGCGCCCGCCACTACGCCCGGCTAATTTTTTGTATTTTTAGTAGAGACGGGGTTTCACCGTTTTAGCCGGGATGGTCTCGATCTCCTGACCTCGTGATCCGCCCGCCTCGGCCTCCCAAAGTGCTGGGATTACAGGCGTGAGCCACCGCGCCCGGCCCTTTGCCCACTTTTTAATGGGGTTGTTTTTTTTTTTCTTGTAAATTTGTTTAAGTTCTTTGTAGACTCTGGATATTAGACCTTTGTCAGATGAATCGATTGCAAAAATTCTCTCCTATTCTGTAGGTTGTCTGTTCACTCTTATGAGCAGTTGTGAATGGCAGCTTATTGATGATTTGCTTGTCTGCTTGCTGTTATTGGTTTATAGGAATGCTAGCAATTTTTGCCTGAGACTTTACTAAAGTTGCTTATCAGCTTAAGAAGCTTTTGGGCTGAGACAATGGGGTTTTCCAGCTATTACAACCACTGTTTTTTTTTTCTGTTTTTCACTTGATTGGTGAATTTTCCTTCATCCCTTTATTTTGAGTCTATGTGTGTCTTTGCCCATGAGATGGATCTCTTAAAGATAGCATACCACTGTTTCTTGGCTCTTTGTCCAGCTTGCCATTCTGTGTCTTTTAATTGGGGCATTCAGCCCACTTACATTGCTGAAAACTCAGAAAGCCAGAGTGCCTCGTTTCTTCCAAATGACTGCAACACCCCTCTAACAAGGGCACAGAACTGAGCTGAGGCTGAGATGGCTGAGTTGACAGAACTAGGCTTCAGAAGGTGGGTAATAATGAACTTCACCGAGCTAAAGGAGCATGTTGTAACCCAATGTAAAGAAGCTAAGAATGATGATAAAAACAATACAGTAGCTGATAGCCAGTTTAGAGAGAAACATAACCAACCTGATGGGGCTGAAAAACACAACATGAGAAATTCACAACGTAATCACAAATATCAATAGTGGAATACACCAAGCAGAGGAAAGAATTTCAGAACTTGAAGACTATCTTACTTAAATAAGATAGGCAGACAAGAATAGAGAAAAAAGAATGAAAGGAATGAACGAAACCTCTGAGAAATATGGGATTATGTAAAGAGACTGAACCTATGACTGAGGTACCCAAAAGAGACAGGGAGAATGGAACCAAGTTGGAAAACACACTTCAGGATATCATCCAGGAGAACTTCCCAAACTAGCAAGATAGGCCAACATTCAAATTCTTGAAATGCAGAGAATCCCAATAAGGTGCTCCATGGGAAAATCTACCACAAGATGCATAATCATCAGATTCTCCACCATCAGAATGAAAGAAAAAATGTTTAGGGCAGCCAGAGAGAAAGGCCATACCGCCTACAAAGGGAAGCCCGTCAGGCTAACAGCAGACCTTTCAGCAGAAACTCTGCAAGCCAGAAGAGATTGGGGGCCAATATTCAACATTCTTAAAGAAAAGAATTTCCAACCCAGAATTTCATATCTGGCCAAACTAAGCTTCATAAGCGACGGAGAAATAAAATCCTTTTCAAATAGGCAAATGCTGAGGGAATTCGTCACCACCAGGCCTTGCAAGAGCTCTTGAAGCAAGCACTAAATATGGTCCTTTTCAGGACCCTGAAATATTTGTAGTGGCATTACCAGCCACTACAAAAACACATTGAAGTACAGACCAGTGACACTATGAAGCAACCACGTAAATATGTCTGCAGAATAACCAGCTAGCATCATAATGACAGGATCAAATTCACACATAACAATACTGACCTTAAGTGATTGGGCTGTTGTAACAAAATATTATAAACAGTGTGGTTTATAAACAACAGAAGCTTATTTCTCACAGTTCTGGAGGCTGCAGTGTCCAAGATCATCGCACTAGCAGCTTCTGTGTCTGGTGGGGGACTGTTTTCTGGTTCATAAATGGTATCTTCTCACTTTGTCCCCACATAGTGGAAGGGGCAGACCGCCTCAGGCCTCTTTTATAAAGACACTAATCTCACCTAATCCTCCCCCAAAGGCCTTACCTCTTGATACCATCACATCGAGAATTAGGTTTCAACATACGAATTTTGGCGGGGGGAGGCATAGATATTCAGAACATAGCAAGCTGTGAGCTAAGAAATGAAGTGGCCTTCATGGTCTTCCTTGCTCCTCCCTCATTTCATACCATTTCTTTTACAAACACTTTTGTCTTCCTACTTTTCTTTCTATTCCCTGAATCTGGGTATTATTTTTCTCTCTCACCCTCTTGCCATGGCTTCATTTATTTATTTGGACTTTTCTTGTCCTATCAATTACTAGGAAGCCTTTCCTTCCTTTTCTCTTACTAGCTTGCTCCCCCAAGCCTGGCACTTCTTGTGTGCCACTGTAGCACTCTGTCAATTACTTATAGTGTCAGTTCCATGATGGCCTGGCTTGTCTATCCCTACTCTTAGACTTCAAACCTGTTGGGACTGTGACAACTATTGTATCAGTAGTCTAGTATATATAAAATATATATTTAATAAATATTTGATGAATTTGATTAAGTATCCTATAGATGGAGGATTCACCAGTGTGTAGTTTTGGCTCTGGCCTCTCCTGAGCTTTCCTTCTGCGTTTGCAACTTTTAGCTGAACTTGGACCCTGAAATATTCTACAATCTCAAACTCTGTCTAAAATATTGTTCTTATTCTTGTTATTTACAAGACTCACATATTGGTTTTTTTTATTTTAAAATTAAGATTGTATACTGTTTACATAAGAGAATGTTGAGAAATATGATTAGAAAGGTTGATTGAATCAGCTTATAGAATGCCATAGTGACTTGCCTATCTTATAGGAATAGATGGTGGTGGCTTGTTAGAAGAGTTTTATATTAAATCATTCTGCTTGCCGTGTGTTTAGATGGGCAGCAGTAAGCCTTAATTAAGTAAATGGCAACCCACTTTTCTTTTTCTCAGCATCTTTCAGGAACGATGAAAGAGAATAAAATGACTATAGTCCATGTGCTTCAGTGTAATTATAAATTTTGCTTTTTGGAATCACATCATATAACACATGTGATTTAGTACAGAAACTATCTTCACAGAAACTCCTATTTAGTTCTTGCCGTATTAATCACCTCAGAGAAAATTTGCTAGGTTATATGTAGTACATAAAAATTAATGTATTGTTTATTGTATCTCATATGTAGTACCTAATTCAATTGTATACAATTATGTGCACACAGTTTTTGCTCTTCATGTATGTATTGTTAATATTCTATAAGTTTTATTTCCTTTGTCCTCTTTTCTTAGCGATTTCATCTTTCTTTTTCTAGAGCAAAGGAGACAGTACATTTTGGGCAAAAAGTTGATAGTAAATTTTAAACTGCTTTTCATCAAAAACCTTTTTTACTTTAGGTTTGCTATTGACTTTACCTTTTTCTTCCTTATATCTCATCCTTCCTTTTCTCCAACTAGACAGGTCGTTAAAAATGTAAACTGGTTCTCTAGACTGGACATAATCTCATTTCCAGAAGCTGCTGGACACTTATATAGAGTTTTCTGAACCTTGAAATCCTAGCAAAGCCATAAAAGCAGACAAGATATTTTCTTTCCTATAGGGAAAATCTGTCATCATGAGTCGTGAAAGTTACTGACAACACATTCTACCACCTAAATGTATAATACTAAACTGCTAGCATTGGAGATACAGTGAAATCATTTCTGATAAATCATACTAAGCCTAATATAATAGTATCTTAGCAAATGTTACACTGAATATTAAATTTTTTAATTAAATTTGTGATTATGAAATTACTGTTTTATATTAAGAATAATCTTTATGTAACATTTTAGGTACTGATTAAAATTTGAAATTATAATGTAAGGCAATAATAAAGTGACTTTTTAAAATGTATCTTTTTCAAAATTTGTGTGTGCCTGAACTATAAAATATTTCAAAATTAGCTGTATATTCATTAAATATAATTATGAATAAATACTAAATATAAGATCTAACTAAATATATAATCTAGTGCGACAACTTAAACTAGTGTAAATAAGTAGGATACAATATGATTAGGAAAATTAAAATTTTTAACTTGCTTTAATATAATTGGTTTCAATTAATATCAGTATTATTGTGTACAGTAAATCCTTAACATTGTTGATAGTTTTTTAGAAACTGATTTTAACCAAAATGACATAAAAGAAAACCCATTTTACCCTAGGCTAATTGGTATCAGCAAGAGTTAAGTTCCTACAGCATGTTTCTTGTCACAAAAACATCACCAAACTTCTGAATAAAGACCAAACACTTCTAGTATTTAACACTGAAATAAATATGAGCTATATGTACATTTAAGAAAAATCAATAAAAATCACTTCTCAGCCTTTTAGCTAAGATCAAGTGAAGAAAGATCAATGAAAACAACAAGCAAGATAATTATTTACCAGCTTATTTCAGTTCAGGGTGATGGGCAGTTGGAGCTTTTCTGGGCAGCTCAGGGGACAAAGAGGGAACTGATCCAGGACAGGACACATTCTACTCTGAGGCACACTTACACACACACACACACACTCACTCTCACTTTCACAGTGGGACTGTGTAGACAGCCAGTTCACCGAAAGTGCACATCTTTGGGATGTAGGTAGAAACCAGAGTACCTAGAGAAAGCCCACATAGATGTGGTGAGATCATGCAGACCCTATACATTTAATGGCCCTAGCCAGGTTTTTTCCTCATCAACCTTATAAGGAAATGACCTTGAATGAAAGGACGTTATTCAAGGATCTTGATACTGTTTGGCTCTGTGTCATTACGCAAATCTCACCTCGAGTTGTAATCCCCATAATCCCCACGTGTCAAGGGTGGGACCAGGAGGAGGTAATTGGACCGTGGGGGCGGTTCCCCCGTGCTGTTCCTGTGATAGTGAGTGAGTCTCACGGGATCTGATGGTTTAATAAGCATCTGTCATTTCCCTTGCTTGTTCTAACTCCATCCTGCCACCCTGTGAAGAAGGTGCCTGTTTCTCCTTTGCCTTCTGCCATGATTGTAAGTTTCCTGAGGACTCTCCAGCAATACGGAACTGTGAGTCAATTAAACCTCTTTCCTTTATAAATTACCCAGTCTCGGATATTTCTTCATAGCAGTGTGAGAATGGACTAATACAGGCCTGCTTTATATAAATGGAGGTTTTAAAGCCTCAACTAATTCTGATAGCAGTCATAGTCCATTCTAGAGAGTACTAATTACAGTTGATTACTTTGAAGAAGGGAGAAAAGAGAGAAAGGTATGTGTTAGAGAATATACTTGTTATGATTTCAACCCTCTTAAATCGATTGAATCTTGTTTTATGGCCTAAAACAGGGGTTGGCAAACTACTCTAAACAGAGTTTTCCTGGAGCACAGCCATGCCTATTATCTTCTTATTTTCTACGGCTGCTATCATGCTGCCGTGGCAGAGTTAAGTAGTTGTGACAGAGACCTTATAGCCCGTAGATCCTAAAATATTGACTGTCTTGCTCTTTAAGAAAAAAATTATAAGGCCTGGTGCGGTGGCTTATGCCTGTAATCCCAGCACTTTGGGAGGCTGAGGCGGGCCAGAGGTCAGGAGTTGGAAACCAGCCTGACCAACATGGACCCTGTCTCTACTAAAAATACAAAATTAGCCGGGTGTGGTGGCACATGCCTGTGATCCCAGCTACTCGGAAGGCTGAGGCAGGAGAATCGCTTGAACCTGGGAGGCAGAGGTTGCTGCGAGCCGAGATCGCACCATTGCACTCCAGCCTGGGCAGCAAGAGTGAAATTCCGTTTCAAAAAAATTTTTTAAAATGTTGCTCCCTGGCCTAGAATAGTGTCTAGTTTGAAGAATGTTTCATGTGCAAGTTAAAGAGAATGTATATATCTGTTGGTGGTGGCTGGAATATTCTAGAAATACCAGTTAGATGAAGCTGTCTGATAACGTTTTTCTTACTACTTTTTAACAGCTTTATTCAGTTATAACCATGTTCTAAATAATTTACCCATTTAAAGTCTACAGTCCAGAGGTTTTAGTGTTCATAGATAGCTGCAACCATCTCCATTTTCGGTAGTGGCAAGCATGCGGAGCAACAGGAACTCTCTTTCATTGCTGCCAATTCTGAACGTTTTTACCACCTCAAAAAGAAACCTGTACCCTTCGACTATCATCCTCTTTCTTTCCCCCAGCCCTGACAACCACTAATCTACTTTTTGTCCCTTTAGGTTTTCCTCTTTGGTATTTGCAAATGGAAGGAATCATATGTTATGTGGACTTTTGTGCCTGGCTTCTTTCACTTGGCATAATGTTTTCAAGGTTCCTCCAAGTTGTAGTGTATAAGATTTTGTATGCACATGTTTTCATTTCTCTCTATATCTAGTATACACCTAGGAATAAAATTGCCATATGTTTTTATTGTAACTCCATGTTTAATCATTTATTGCCAGATTGTTTTCTCCTCTATTCAGATCCATTGCCCATTCTGTTAAGACTATTTTTTAAGAGCAGTTTTTAGGCTCACAGGAAAATTGAGGAAAGGATACAAAGACAGCCAAGATAGCACATATCCCCACACATTGCTAGTTTCCCCGTTATCAACATCCCTCACCAGAGTGATAGAATTTTTTTTTACAATTGAGGAACCAACATTGACACATTATTGTCACCCAAAGTCTGTAGTTTATGTTAGGGTTCACAATTGGTGTTTTACATTGCATAGATTTGGACAAATGTGTGACATGTATCCACCATTATAGAATCATACAGTAATCACTGCCCAGAGCTGTCATTTTTCCGCTGTCTGAATTTCTACTTCTTTTGTGTGGCTTTTCTAAGTGGCTGCAGTGAGAGGTTAATTCCCATTGCAGGGGTGGAAGTAGCAGTCTGTATGTTTTAATTTCCTACTAACCCATAAAATTTACATTGCTTATGCTGATTTCTCAGTTATGGAATTGAATATTAAATTTGTTTGTTTACTAACTAGAATGAAATATGCTGTCTAGAAGCCTCATGTGATTTTGTGATGGTGCCTCCCTTCCCCACTTCTCCATTCATAAAAACAAACCACGAACCTAGCTTCACGAGAGAGTGTGCTTGGGGACCTGTCACTTGTGCTGTGGAGCAACTTTGCATTGCCCTCTTGCTGCGGCTTGATGACTGTGCACCTCTGTTGGGCATGCAAGCAAAGCAGATTACAGACAAGGGCCAGGATTTTCGAAAAAGTAAAACTGCATCCTGTGAAGGAGGTGGAGCAGGATTATTTCTCTGTGCCGGTCAAGGGCATATGTTGTTCAATGAAGAAAGCAGGAGGAGAAGGAGAGAAGACCTTTTGAATCTGTGTGACACCAATGCAGGTGGCTTCATATCACTCAGTCCTGGCTTTCTACCATAAAATTCAGATGATAAACATCAGCCTCATGGGAGTGTTATGGAAATTAGCTAAAATTATATTGATTAATAAACATAAAATGTATGAATAAAATACAGAGACTGGCATAGAACAAATATTCAAAAAAATGTGTCCTGGAAGGTTTTCTCTAGGGTAAGAGCCCTCAAGTCTTCTTCTTTTTGGCAGCTTTTTCTGTGTTTCCTTCTTTGTCTCAATGAAGAGGCCTTCTGCAAAATTATATATGTTTTCTTGTCATTGATCTATCCTCATTCTGTTCCCCAATCATTATTTTAACTAGGTGATATGGAGATTATATTTCATTTGTTAATGTTTTTGTTACTGTTTTTTCCCTCTGGATGTCATTAGCATATAAAGACATCTTTAAATAATTATTTTGGGAAACAATGTTATTTTCTGCCTTGTGATGAATCCTGGGCTAGACAGTTTGAGACGATGCGATCAATTATTCTAAGAGATAAAACACTGTCTTCTTTGGGTAACTTAACTAAAGTCATTTATAACAACCTCAGTGGCTGCTAAGTACTATTTAATATTCTTGTAATCAGAGTCTAAGCGTTTTCAGTTAATTTTTCATTTTCCTTCACATTTTTATTTCCTTTCACAAGTGGCATTATTAATTTTCTTTTAGCTTATTAAATTAAGGTATGCTTTATAAAATTTTTCAAAGAAAAATTAATCCCATCCCCTGAGATAATCAGTGTGAATAGCTTGAATCATTCACTTCCATAACTTCCTTTGTGTCTATACAAAAATGCACAAATATATTTAGGCTTTTTTTACTTAGTAACATGTGATGGGCATTCCCTCTAGAACAGTAGACAGTGGTTAGCTCATCTAAAAGCTGCCTACTTTCCCTAACAGGTTACATTATGTTTTATTCCACCTTCCCTATATTGTTGAACATTCCATTTTTTTCTCTCCTTGTTATTTCCCTTGCTTTATTGTGCAGATATCCTAGGTACTGTTAAAACAAAAACAAAAACAAACAAAAAAGCCAGGATGGATTCCTAAAGTGGGATTGCCTGTTTGCAGGCAGTATCCTAGTCACGACTTCACTAGTCTTGTGTTTGCGCCTATTTTCACTCAGCCTTGTCAATACCCACTTCACTTTTCTTAATTTTTAAGTTTTTGTGTAAAAGAAAGTACTCAATTTTTGCTTCAAAATTTATTCCCTTGATAATTATTTTAGATTTACCATGTTTTCATATACTTACTGCTTGTGTGAATAGGCTTTGGCACTTTTTCTATTTGTATCTTTTTCCTTTACCACTTTGGGGTGCTCTTCGTGTGTTGGGGACAGAAATTCTTATGGGTTATATATTTTGCATATGTAAAAGTTATAATTTGACCTTTTTATTAACATATTGTTACATTTTTACATAATCTGTCAACTTATTTATTGTTGTGTTTTCTGTCTCTTACCCAAATTTACACAAATATTTAAATATCTTTTGGCACTATTATTATATTTAGAGACTTATTTATTGCAAGCAGTTGAACTGATTGTGTTTATAAACATAGTCAAAATGTGGTAACGTTTTTGTGGATTATATTTTGTGTCACTCTTGTTCCCCCCCACCAAATTTATATGATTTTACAGAGAATGTTAGCACAAATCTTTAAATGATTCATTCCTTCTTTTATCAGACTGAATACTACTTTCTTTCTATGTCTGTATTCATGCTCTTCAACAATATTCCCAAATTTTCTTCTCCTAACATAGTCTGTCCTCAAGATCCTGTCCTTCCTTCTGGTACAACTAGCACAAATCCTTTTTCTCTTGTGCCTCAGGGAAACCTTTATAAACTATATAGGTTGACCAAATTAGTGGTGATTAATAAAATCAGCAGGAAAGAGTACATTTATGCAGAGAACGTTCTCTACCAAAAACATCGTTGTTCTGTTTCGTAAATGCATATATGTGGGAGGCTGTATACTTAGCCATTAAAGAACAGAGAGTGAACTGCCTGGGTTTGAGTTCTGGCTCTAACTCTTATTAGCCTTATTATCTAGGGCAAACTACTTAACTTCACTTGCAATAATTTTTATTTGAACTGAATAGCTTAAACTGTGCTTACTGTGTGCCAGGCATTTTCCAAGTGCTTTATATATATTAACTCCTAATCCTCACAAGCACTCTAAATTATCCTCATTTTATACATGGAGACATGAGGTTCAGAAAAAGCTTAAATAATCTGCACAAGCTAGAAAGTGGGGGGAGGGGCAGTTGTAATCGTAAGTGCCTAATAAATGTTTCTTTCCTCATTCTTCTTTTCTGCTCCCCTCTTGCCCTTTCTTTCCTCTCCTGGCTTTTCTCTTTGTACCATTTTCCACCTTCTCCTATCTCCTCTTCCCCCACTTCACTCTTTTCCCCCTCTTCACCCTTCTTTCCTTTTCTCCTTGTTCCTCCTACTTCCTCTTCTCTCTCTTTCGCCCCCCGCCCCCCATTTTCTCCCTCTTCCCTTCGTTCTCCTTCTCTACCTCGTCATCTTATTATATCATTTTCAGCGTCAGTGCCCTTTATCCTTTGGGGCGTACCAAGATCAATCAGAGACACATCCTGCTTCAGAGGCCTTACCATCTATTAGTAGCTAAAAGACAAACAACTTGCTTAAAATGAAATGGAAAGTAAGAGATTTTAGTGCCATTCAAGTTTTAAGGGAATAAGTTTGTCTTTCCTGGGGGCAAAACAAAAACAAAACAAAAAAAAACCCGGCTTTATGGAGGGACAGTTTCCTTTAGTGGTATCAGGAAAGGCCCTGTAAAGGCAGTAGTTATATTCTATCTACTCCATTGTATTTAGAATATTTCCTAAATTTATCAGCCTCCCTCTTGATTATTACATGTGATGGATCTTAAGTTCACTAATTGATCTCAGTACTTTTTGGACTCTTACTTTATCATGAATGAGTGACCAGTATGGAAAGAGTTAAAATGAAAACGTTTAAGGAGTCTGGGCCATTTGTGGAGAGTTTGGGACACCTTTCAGTACTAACAAGTCAGTGCCCATAGATTGAGGATAGCAAAGAAAAGATAGATCGGTGTGTCTAAGTCGACAGTAGGTAGAAACATGGTCAGTGGCTACACAAATCCACATACCCACAGTCAGTTGCTACGTGTAATCAGTCCCCAGAGAGTTCTGAAAATAATCTGCTTGTGTAAACTGTCATTTATATCATAACATAGCTCTTCTACATCTGTGAAGTGTCATCCTCAGTAAGTTCCTCTTCAGAATGCCCAGGCACCATGGCAACAGGCACCTCAGGAAAAGTGAGATGGGCTTTTAATTGCAGCGTCAAAAAGTACATTTCAGCAAGTTTCAAAAACGAGTGCATTATATGACCAAAAGTTATAATTATTTTAGTCATCTCAGCATGAATACCAGGTGTATTTTTGGCATGGGCCTTCTTAGAAGTAAGCATCCTGATTCAATTTGAAAGCATACATGTTACATTGGAGAAAATTATATTAAAAGTTAACAGAAGTTAGGTATCTACTACCTATATAAGTTTGTTTTCCTGTTAATATTTTCCACTAAAATGTAAGTGAATTTGCATGAATGCTTTCTTTCATTATTCACAGTGTAAGATATAGCGAGATCTAATTGTCTTTAGGATGAATTGTCCCTAAGGGGATAGATGCTCAGTTGCCTGTGTGTATCAGCTTTTATTTTTCATTTTTATTTATTGACAAAATCAATATGCTATTTGGAAACTGCCAAATTGGTTCTAGAGATCTGACAGACTAAAATTTGGAGAGCAACATAAAGTCGGTCTTCCCAGGATGTTGCTTGAACCAGCAGAGACCCAGAGTCCTAATTTTAAATGGTTGCTTTATTTGGTGAAATAGATTGGATATTGGCTTTACAGACAAAATGCCCTTGACGTCTTGGATCTCAGTTCTTCAGAAAGGATAATGAGGATATTAGAAGGGTAATTTCTTTTATTCCTTCCAGCCCTAATATTCTGTGATTCATCTGAGTATTAATTTGCATGCAGTTATATGGAGATGGGTGGAAACATTGTAAAGAAACTTTGAAAATGAATGAATTTATACAACAAGAAAAAATAAAGAGAAAAAAACTTAATAGTCTATTTTTGGTCCTAACAGGGTAAGGTATAAATTATTTACCTAAATAGGTATAAAATGAAATTGAAAGTAATAGATACAGTGTGCAGGGAAGTTTCCAGGAAGAAAGCTTATGGGAAGATGTTGAAACCAGATGTGATTTGAACACCTAAGTACTTACATTTACTTTCCAGTTCTACTTTTTTTCTGAGATTAGCTGTAGTCTTTTGCATATAGTTGGTGTTCAGGGAATATTTGTGGAATGAATTGACTAATAAAAAAATTGTTGGGCCTAGCTCATCCGAGCTAAGGAATTTATATGGTACAGATCTTTGTGGTAACTCAAAGAAGAGGTGGCCCAACACAGATCAGTTAGATTAGGTTTGACCTCAGAAATAGTATTTCCAATTGAGTCAAGAACCTTACAAAAATAAATGTGCTAAAGGACAGGGTTTGCATTTTTTTCTCCAAATTTTGTCTCTATTAATTTTATTCTGAACTCACACATCAGATTTTCTGAGAGAGATGTGTCATAACATTAGTCCCCTTTGCCCTAGTTTGTTACCCCTTTGCCCAAGCAGTGAGAGCCAGGTCCATTGTCTTCTGCTGGTAGTTGCACACCCATAGGTGAAGGATAAGGCAACATGTTTTTGTTTTTTATTTTTCTTATTATTAAGTAGAAAATACAGCTGTGTTTCTCCCCTCGTGAAAGGGTCTCCATAGAAATTTTCTGGACGTGAATCCTGAAACCCTTTGGTATATTAATAGAATGTCTCCAGGAGCCAGATAACCCCCCGTGTTTTATATATTATTGTGTCTGGAATTGGTGGGTTCTTGGTCTCACTGACTTCAATAATGAAGCTGCGGACCCTCGCGGTGAGTGTTACAGTTCTTAAAGGTGGCACATCTGGAGTTTGTTCCTTCTGATGTTTGGATGTGTTTGGAGTTTCTTCCTTCTGATGGGTTTGTGGTCTCGCTGGCTTCAGGAGTGAGGCTGCAGACCTTCGTGGTGAGTGTTACAGCTCTTAAGGCGGTGCGTCTGGAGTTGTTCGTTCCTCCCGTCGGGAGTTGCTCATTCCTCCCGGTGGGTTCGTGGTCTTGCTGGCTTCCGAAGTGAAGCTGTAGATCTTCGCGGTGAGTGTTACAGCTCATAAAGGCAGTGCAGACACAAAGAGTGAGCAGCAGCAAGATTTATTGCAAAGAGTGAAAGAACAAAGCTTCCACAGTGTGAAAGGGGACCCTAGCAGGTTGCCACTGCTAACTCAGGCAGCCTGCTTTTATTCCCTTATCTGGCCCCACCCACATCCTGCTGATTGGTCCATTTTACAGAGAGCTGATTGGTCTGTTTTACAGAGAACTGATTGGTCTGTTTTGACAGGGTGCTGATTGGTGCGTTTACAAACCTTGAGCTAGACACAGAGTGCTGATTGGTGTATTTACAATCCCTTAGCTAGACATAAAGATTCTCCACGTCCCCACTAGATTAGCTAGATACAGAGCACTGACTGGTGCATTTACAAACCTTGAGCTAGACACAGGGTGCTGATTGGCATGTTTACAAACCTTGAGCTAGACACAGAGTGCTGATTGGTGTGTTTACAAACCTTGAGCTAGACACAGAGTGCTGATTGGTGTATTTACAATCCCTTAGCTAGACATAAAGGTTCTCCAAGTCCCCACCAGATTAGCTAGATACAGAGTGCTGATTAGTGCATTTACAAACCTTGAGCTAGACACAGAGTGCTGATTGGTGTATTTACAATCCCTTAGCTAGACATAAAGATTCTCCAGGTTCCCACCAGATTAGCTAGATACAGAGTGCTGATTGGTGCATTTACAAACCTTGAGCTAGACACAGAGTGCTGACTGGTGTATTCACAATCCCCCAGCCAGACATAAAGGTGCGCCAAGTCCCCACTAGACTCAGGAGCCCAGCTGGCTTCACCTAGTGGATCCCGCACCGGGGCTGCAAGTGGAGCTGCCTGCCAGTCCTGTGCCATGCGCCCACACTCCTCAGCCCTTGGGCAGTCGATGGGACTGAGCACTGCGGAACAGGGGCGGCGCTCGTTGGGGAGGCTCGGGCCACGCAGGTGCCCATGGCGGGTGGCGGTGGGGGGGCTCAGGCATGCCGGGCTGCAGGTCCTGAGCCCTGCCCTGTGGGGAGGCAGCTGAGGCCTGGCGATAATTCAAGAGCAGCGTTGGCGGGCCGGCACTGCTGGGGGACCTGGCGCACCCTCCGCAGCTGCTGGCCTGGTTGCTAAGCCCCTCACTACCTGAGGCCAGTGGCACCAGCCGGCCACTCCAAATGCGGGGCCCGCTGAGCCCACACCCACCTGGAACTCGCGCTGGCCCGCAAGCACCACGTGCAGCCCCAGTTCCCGCCTGTGCCTCTCCCTCCACACCTCCCCGCAAGCTGAGGGAGCCAGCTCTGGCCTCGGCCAGCCCAGAGAGGGGCTCCCACAGTGCAGCGGCAGGCTGAAGGGCTCCTCAAGTGCAGCCAGAGTGGGCGCCAAGGCCGAGGAGGTGCCGAGAGCGAGCGAGGGCTGCCAGCATGCTGTCACCTCTTGTTATGACATAGAGTTTTCTCCAAGTTCTGGGGCTTCACCTTTTTTGACATGTAATACCCAGAAATATAACACCCCAGTCTTCTTTAGCTAGGGACCTAGTTCATCAGATAACAATTTGGCCCTCTTGAGAAGACCTAAGAAGTTTTAGTATTTTGAATCAAAGCAGTTAACTAGATAAATGTTTGCAGTTTTAATTCTCATGGCATGTGAAGGGTGGAATATTTTTATTACAGGAAGTGAAAGCAACCATTCCCTTCTTTGTATCATATACATTTCTGAGGCTCAGCAGGCTAAGGATTTCTGCATAGTACTGAGAAATCCAGGGATGTTTTATTTCTCTACAATTAGGTGTTTTAAGTGGGAAGAAACTCTACCAGATCATGTAAATGTTTTATGTAAAAATAGCAAATGATGGTTTATGCATAATAGATGGAGTAAGGTATGCTTTCTAAACTGACTTAATATAGCAGGGAAAAAAGTAAAGGCAGTAGTAATATTATTAGAAGCAACCACATTTGTGAATCTCTCTCTCTATTTAATAACCTTGACTCTTGTAGTATTTCAGACTTATCTAAAAGATTCCTGTGTCTAGAAATATGTCAATAGAATATTTGGAAAATGTCTTTGAACTGACTCTTGCTTGGGACAGATTTCAAAGAATCCTCATGATCATTTGTTCTATTCATATCTGTTGAAATTTATGAATTTGTGTGAGGATACAATAATGTAAAACCTTATATATATATACAAGGTAATATGCAAAGATGATGAGTATTTCTATTAGGATTTTTTAAACCAATAATCTTTAATTTTTATCGATTTGTTTAAAAAGAAGTATTCTCTGACATTGTGACTGAGTTGATGAATTGGTTGGATACCTGTTGTTTGCCTCAGTCATTGAAACCAAGAGCATGTGGTATAACATCCTATTCTCTCTAAAAATAGTTTCTGTGTTTTTGGTTTTGTTCTGAGTACATTACTTTTCTCTTTGGTCCTTATAATCACAGTTTTATTTTTTAAATTAGAGATGGAGTCTTGCTCTGTCACCCAGGCTGGAGTTATGCTGTCATGGATTACTATATCCTCGAACTCCTGGGCTCAAGTGATCCTCCCAGTGTAGCCTCCCAAGTAGCTGAGACTACAGGTGTGCACTATCATGCCCGGCTAATTTTTTAATTGTTTTGTAGAGATAGGGTCTTGCCATGTTGCCCAGGCTGGTCTTGAACTCCTGGCCTCCAGCAGTCCTCCTGCTTCAACCTCTCAGTGTTGGGATTATAGTTGTAAGCCACTGCACTTGGCCACAGTTTTAAAGTTTCAAAAATAAATAGAAATAACTAGTTGACTTACTTTACTTACTGTTTCTTTCAGCTTTTTGCCTGAATTCATCAATGGAGACTTTGATTCTATTAGGCCTGAAGTCAGAGAATACTATGCTACTAAGGTAAATTATAAACATTTTTTTGTTCAAGATCTTTCTCATATGGTTGCTTTTTCTATGTTTCCAATTGTCATGGTGTATAGGAAGAGATTGATAAACTCATTGGTTGGTTACTTTTTATAGTTTTTTTATTTTAGCAATTGTAACATACATTCAAAATGGAAACTTACACTTTTTCACAAAGGGTTTGCCACCAGAACACAGGTGTCATGAAAACTACCCCTAAAAGCCAAAATGGGAAAGGAAAAGACTCACGTCAACATTATCGTCATTGGACATGTAGATTCGGGGAAGTCCACCACTACTGGCCATCTGATCTACAAGTGCGTTGGCATTGGCAAAAGAACCATTGAAAAATTTGAGAAGGAGGCTGCTGAGATGGGAAAGGACTCATTCAAGTTGTGCCTGGGTCTTGGATAAACTGAAAGCTGAGCATGAATGTCGTATCACCGTTGATATCTCCTTGTGGAAATTTGAGACCAGCAAGTACTATATGACTATCATTGATGTCGCAGGACACAGAGACTTCATCAAAAACATGATTACAGGGACATCACAGGCTGACTGTACTGTCCTGATTGTTGCTGCTGGTGTTGGTGAATTTGAAGCTGTTATCTCCCAGAATGGGCAGACCCGAGAGCATGCCCTTCTGGCTTACACACTGGGTGTGAAACAACTAATTGTTGGTATTAACAAAATGGATTCCACTGAGCCACCCTACAGCCAGAAGAGATACGAGGAAATCATTAAGGAAGTCAGCACTTACATTAAGAAAATTGGCTACAACCCTGACACAGTAGAATTTGTGCCAATTTCTAGTTGGAATGGTGACAACATGCTGGAGCCAAGTGCTAACATGCCTTGGTTCAAGGGATGGAAAGTCACCGGTAAGGATGGCAATGCCAGTGGAACCACGCTGTTTGAGGTTCTGGATTGCATCCTACCACCAACTCGTCCAACTGACAAGCCCCTTCACCTGCCCCTCCAGGGGGTCTACAAAATTGGTGGTATTGGTGCTGTTTCTGTTGGCCGAGTGGAGACTGGCATTCTCAAACCTGGTACGGTGGTCACCTTTGCTCCAGTCACCGTTAGAACTGAAGTAAAGTCTGTCGAAATGCACCATGAAGCTTTGAGTGAAGTTTTTCCTGGGGACACTGTGGGCTTCAGTGTCAAGAATGTGTCTCTCAAGGATGTTCATCAAGGCAACATTGCTGGTGACAGCAAAAATGACTCACCAATGGAAGCAGCTGGCTTCATTGCTCAGGTGATTATCTAGAACCATCCAGGCCAAATCAGTGCTGCCTATTCCCCTGTACTGGATTGCCACACGGCTCACATTGCAGGCAAGTTTGCTGAGCTGAAGGAAAAGATCGATCGCTGTTCTGGTAAAAGGCTAGGAGATGGCCCTAAATTCTTGAAGTCGAGTGATGCTAACATCGTTGATATGGTTCCTGGCAAGCCCATGTGTGTTGAGAGCTTCTCAGAATATCTACCTCTGGGTCGCTTTGCTGTTCGTGCTATGAGACAGACAGTTGCCATGAGTGTCATCAAAGCAGTGGACAAGAAGGCTGCTGGAGCTGGCATGGTCACCAAGTCTCCCCAGAAAGCTCAGAAAGCTAAATGAATATTATCCCTAATACCTGCCACCCCACTCTTGATCAGTGATGGAAGAACGGTCTCAGAACTGTTTGTTTCAATTGGCCATTTACGTTTAGTAGTAAAAGACTGGTTAATGATAACAATGCATTGTAAAATTTTCAGAAGGAAAGGAGAATGTTTTGTGGACCACCTTGATTTTCTTTTTTGCCTGTGGCAGTTTTAAGTTACTAGTTTTTAAAATCAGTACTTTTTAATGGAAACAACTTGACCAAAAATTTGTCACAGAATTTTGAGACCCATTAAAAAAGTTTAATGAGGAAAAAAAAATGGAAACTTACAAAATGACAAGTTGGAACACAATCTTGGGGAAATTTTATCACCATTATGTAAAAATTAATCCTTTAAACATATATATTTCAAAAGAGCTTATAATTTATATATGCTCATTTAATAATACATAATTGTTGCCTATATCCTCATTAATTATTATATATTTCTCGTGGATCATTTTAACTTCATTTAATGAATGTACCTTATTTCACTTAACCAATTCCCAATTAATGTACATTTCGGGTGTGCATTTTTTTGCTTTGTAAACTCTGCTAAAATCATCTTTGTAAATGAATTTTTGTAAAAATGCATAATTGTGTATTCATAAGAATTTAGGACTAACGTTAGAAAATTTTCTTTAACATTTAGTTTTCTTGAAATTATTATTACTACCTGAGGTCAGGAGTTAAAGACCAGCCCGGCCAACATGGTGAAACCCTGTCTCTACTAAAAATACAAAAAATTAGCCGGGTGTTGTGGTGGGCGCCTGTAATCCCAGCTACTCGGGAGGCTGAGGCAAGAGAATTGCTTGAACCTGGGAGGCGGAGGTTGCAGTGAGCCAAGGTTGCGCCACTGCACTCCAGCCTGGGCAACAAGAGTGAAACTCCTTCTCAAAAAAAAAAAAAAGAAAGAAAAAAAAAGAGATTATTATTACTGTTTTGAATAAAACTATTTCCTACAACTTGAGATTGATAATAACCTACATCTTTTGAAAAGGTGTTAATTTTCTCAATATTGGGCACATCTTTCAAAGAAGAGAAGGAACCTTTCTCAGGAAGGAGGGAAGAGAAAAAGGTAGGAAAATGAAAAGAAAGAAGAAAAAGAAACATGATTCTAGGTGGAAACACAAAGGTGTTGTGCTTATAAGGTATAGCCTGTATGATATGGAAATTCTGGGGCTGGCAGTGAACGCAGGTCTCTGCACATCCCATCTGCCCACCAGCTGATCAGACTTTCCCTCAGCAAATGAAGACTGTTCCCAAGTCAGTGTTTGATATTCATGCTCAATTACTTTAACATTGGCATGTTCCTGTTCATTCCCCACAGTCTCACTTCTCATTAACTCCATACCTCAACCTCGTTGGGATGGAAAAGCCACAGCCTTGCTTACAATGCAGAGTTTTACAAATGCATAGATATTAATCATATTTTCAGGAGCAGAAGAAACAGCGAGAGAGGCAGGGACAAGCAGACTCAAAAACAAGTTGAAGATCTGGTCAGGTGTGACTCCTCTCCCCCTTCTTTAATGCTGCTGGCTTGCCAAAATCAGAAGTGCCAGCCTGATCACATCTATCCAAGATAAGAAAATAGGGGAAGCCAGCCTTTTTATACCTATAGGCAGTAAAATGAGGGTCAAGGATAGAGGAAAAATTTGAGTTAATGCCTCTTGATGAATTTCTCTTATATTTCCTTCTTCACTTTATTTTAACCTTAAAAACTAAATTACATTTGTTGAGGTTTAGTTTTTAAAGTAAGATTTAGCTGAATCTTCTAATTCTTGAACTACATCGTTCTAGGTTGATACAGTATAATCCACTTTCTTCATGTATCAACGAGTATCAAACTCACTGCTTTGAACTTTTAGGCTAAGTTCCTAGAGGGCACAGATGATGTCTTTTATATAGTTAATGTGCCCTGTAGAGCACATGGTGAGTGTTTGGCTATAGTTTTAATAACCATGACAATTACAACAAGTTAATGCAACATTACACACAATTCATATAAGCCATTATCTCCAAATTAAACAGCCTTTACACTGCTCTTTCACAATTGAAAGGCGGTTATCTTCATTTTCAAATACACCCCCTCCCGACCTGGTCTGAGTTTGCAATGAAGGTGAAACTGGGGATCTAGTAAAGTGAAGAAATTTAAAATACCAAAACTTTGTTAAAATCAAAAAGTGGATTGTTGATACAAAGTGTTGAGCCTGGCAACTGGTGTACAGTCCTTAGTTTATAAAGTCCTCATTTTCAGGTAGCTGTAACATCTTGGTGCTTTCTCTTTTGCCTATTTGTCTTAGTTCGTCTCTGCCTGGTTCACTCCTATTAACTCAGAATGAGGAATATCTCTTACTGATTTTCCTCTTGATATTTTATTTTTCATTTTTCTGGGTCAGTCAGTGCTTCTTTGATTCAAAGCTAAAAATCACCTACTTCAGTGTATCTGTTATGCCTACCACCATGTTAATTTTCTGAGAACTTTAGAAGAAACTGTACTATCTTATCAAACTCCTGATATTCTTTCACTATTGTATTCTGTTGGGTCTTCAATGGATTTAGGAAAGGGAGTTTTAAAATTGTTTCCTTAATATTTAGGGGGTTAAGGAACTAATTGCAGGATCTAGCTAATGCCTTAAAAATTACAGAATATCAAGGGATTGCTATAAATGTAGGTTTATAGGATATGAGTTAAAATATATAAGTATAATAAAAAATATGAAATACAGTCAACCCTTGGTATCCAAGGATTCATCCAACAGTGTATGGGGAACCTTGGGACATGCAGGGCCTACTAAGGGACTTAAGCATCCTCAGACTTTGATGTTCTCTAGGGTCCTGGAGCCAATCCCCTGTAGATATGAAGGGCCTACTGTAATTTAAAATAGAAGAAATTAAACAATATTCTTTATCCCAATTTTTTGATGAGGGAACTGAGGCCCAGAAAGCTAAGCGACTTCAACAAAATGGCAGAACTAGTGAGAGACAGCTTTAGGATCAATGTCCATATTTTCTATAAAAAGAATGTTGTTAGAACTGGGACTGGGTCACTGCTACTGCTTCTCAACAGGTAAAGCCTTTGGCCTATGGGGTAAGACAGTTGTTCCTTGCGCTGGATATGTAGCATCCCTGGGAATGAATGCTACCATCACTGTCAGTGTGACATAACGTCAACGACATAATCAAATACTTTACATTGTGTTTCTGGTATGTCCCTCTAAACCTTTGATTTTGAGGTAGCAAGGGTAAAGGTGCAATAGTTGGACCAGACCAGGAAAGAGCAAAACCTTATAAACTGATAAATTGTTAAATTACCTATTAACAACAGCTACTTACAAGATATTGGATTGAGCCAAGATAGAACACTGAAGAATCAGAGTGATTTGGTAATATGAAATTAGCAAGGGTATAGGCAAATTTTTAGTATGTCTTTCCTTGTGTTACCAATGAGTATTTTGCCATTCCAGAAGGTGTTGCTATCAACACAAGGCCATGTTCTAGATGGTATGATGAAAACAACCCTAGCATAAGTCAGGAATAGGACTGTAGGTCCAAGTTCTGATTTTATCTTCTCTGTTAATCCTTCAAAGTCTTAGAAGAACATAGCATCAAGAATATTGCAACAAGGTGCCCAAAGACTCATTGTAACTGTGTTTATGAAGACAAGCTTGGTTAAGGGAAACATTGAACCGCTGTATATATGGTGAATGAGGCTAGCAGAAAGGGTGAGTCGATGCTGAACCACAGATTTTCTATTACAGAGATAATAAGATAATTCCAGGTCCCCTGATAATTCTAGCACTATAAACTGGAGGAATGGAGAAAGAAACATAGGCAGATTTTTGTCTCCTGTCTTTCATCGTATCTTTTTCCCTCTTGGGAAAGATAAGGGTTTTTTTTAAAGCAAATTGCATGAATTATTGAAGAATATATCTTATAAAACCAATATTTTTTATAGTATTTTCCCATTGTCATTGAATACTTGCATGGCCATACCCAAATTTTTGAAGAGTGCTCTCGATGGGCAGGGGTAGTGTATCTAATCTTTAAAAACCAATGCTCCCTTTTATAAATATAAAATGCTATAAATGTTAGTTGCAGTAGCAGAAAATGTCTCATCATTTTACATTTCATCATAATGGCTATTACCTGTATAAATGTGTTTCAGTTACATTTTAGGGAATTGGGGATTTGGGTTTAAATATAACTTTCTCAGTTAAAATAATTGGAAATTGTTACCTGTTTGGCATTTGAATAGAATGTCTGATTTTTCATAAATGGACTACTGATGATAAGCAGAAAATGCCTATATTTTAATTCCAACTTACAGATGGGGACACTGATTCTCAAATAGTGGGGAGGGCGGGTTATTGGGAGAAGGGTACATTCAAGTGTGGATATCAAATAACTAATACTTAATCTTGGCTGTTAGCAGTGTGCATTTTAGATTTCAGGCTTTTATAAGTAGTAAAGTGATTGTTTTCTTGAATTAAGTGCAAATTACATTTGTGTTGTTAATTTACATATATGAAAGTCTTACCACCACACGTGAAACTAAATCATGGTGTTATATTCCTGACTTTCTCATGTGCTTATAGTAATGATCTAATAATGGCATACATGTAGAGTTCTCTGGAAATACTAAAGCACTATTTAATATAAGCTGGTAGTGTTTTATTTTACTTCCTAAAATTGTTTGCTTAAGACCTTTTTAATATTTTATTTTTTTCTCAGTAACATTGCTTTTTAAAAATATTTTCAAACACTTCCTCTTTGTAAGTGCATAATTTATGAATGTAGATGTAATTCATAATCAGAATTGCTTAGGATATCCTTTTGAATTTGATAAAGCCTCAGGTTTGATTCTATTTACATTTCACAGAATCTCCAGTTAAAAACATCTGCATTGATCCACCTAATCTCATGAATCTTATTATTTTCTACTCTTACCTACGTCTCTTTTTCAGTTCTTCTCAGCCACATGCCAACAACTTTTAGATGAAAAATTAATTAGAGAAAATGACAAACTGGACTGTTAGAAATTGTGAACAGTTAGTAAGTTTGACTATTATACCAAACAGAGGAAACTATACAACATATATAAAGCTCAACTCCATTTTTTGATATATTTCTTTAAAAAATGTAAACAAAATGAAACAAAGCCTGGAGTGTAATAAATTTTTAGGCTTAAGCATGAAGTCTAATTAACATATGCTAAGATATGAAGGCTTTGCTAAGGGAATTATAGACAGGCAGTTTCCCTTGACAACTGAGTGACAGGTTCTTCACTTTATATTCCTTAGACTGGCTCTCTAACCCTTATTAGCATCTCACCAAGGGAATGATGAGACTGCCAGGGGAACATTAGGTGAAACTATCTCTTGACTATACCTTAATTCTTATGCTTGCCTCAATCATAGTCCTTTCAAATTGACTTTATTGTCATCGATGTTTTTTGAATCTTGTTTTGTTTGAATTTGTTTAACATACTGAAGGCTTTTAGAAAGGGCGAGACTTTGCCCTTTACATTGAAGAGCTCCCAGTGAGACACACAGGACCTCCAGGGGCACCTGCCTGCCTCTCCTCATTCATCTGATGTTACACTCTGTGTTCTCCAGGGCCTCTGTGACTCTCTCTTTCCTCCTTCGTCTGACTCATGGGATTCTTCCTTCGCCTAAACCAACCAACTATGACAATCTAAAAAGTAATAACAACCAAATATTTTTAGTGCTTAAAATATGCCAGATATTTTTATATGCACTTTCATTTATGAATTCATCCCTTCACAGTTCCCCAGCTGGAGGTGGTGGTTAGTCCCTTGTTTATACTTTCTTGCTGAGTTTGAGATAAACAATTCTATCATCATTTTATTCCTTTTCCCTGTTAACATGTGAACTTCTGGAAGTTGAAGTCTGCGGTCATTCATCCTGGTATCCCCAGTCATTAGTAGGTTCAGATTGAAGTTTATATGAAGCAGGTATCTGATCCCTCTTTTAGAACTGAAACAGAAAAGCACTGGTCCTGCTTTGCTTCATATAAAAAAGATTTCTGTGATCAAATGATTTTGTGAAATTTGCCACATTCTGTATGCCCCTTTTGGAAACCCACTGTGCATGTATCATTTTAAGTAAGTCTGCCAAAAATCTAATTTTACCTTAATATTTCTCAAATGTATTTCACCCCGGAACATTTACTCTTTACCCTACTAAAAATACAAAAAATTGGCCAGGCGTGGTGTCACACACCTGTGATCCCAGCTAATCAGGAGGCTGAGGCATGAGAATCGCTTGGACCCTGGAGACAGAGGTTGCAGTGAGCCGAGATTGTGTCACTGTACTCCAGGCTGGGAGACAGAGTAAGACTCTTTCTCAAAGAAAGAAAGTTTTCTATCAGTTTAGAAACTATTTACCATTCAAGTTTCCTGATGTCAGCCAAAAGCCAGTCTTGCAAGCAGGCCATTTTAAAGACAGCAGTCTCAAGCCTGCTATGCTAAGTTTTCCCTGTGCCCTCTTTTACCCAGAAGTCTGGCTCTGGTTTTAGGAAGAAAGCCATCATTTAAAACCCTGTGCTGTTCTAAAAAGACGTTCGACTTCCATTAACAGAAGGGATGACTTTCTTGTTTGAAACACTATAGCTTTCGTTCAATGCCTTGTTGAAAGAAAAGGTTATTTTACAACACATAGGACAATGAAGATTATGCTAGATTAGAATGTCTCTTTAAGTTTGGGAAAGAATGGAGAATTGCTACAAGGTTAAATTGCATTTCTTCTTTTCCTTTATACACCATCTAGATACCAGAAAGAAAATACTAGATTATATTAGGCAATATACTTAGAGTTTTTATACTGTTACTTAGGTTTTTAAGAGTTGAATCCTGTGACATTCTTGCTGAAGAAATCATTCCTTGAAGGCTGTTATTTGATGATTTAAAAAACAACCTTTTTAGCTTGAAAAGTATAAATGTTTCTAGAAGCCTGGTAAATAAAAGGAACAATCTGCCACAGTACACTTTATACAATGAAGAAGAAAGTGGGAATTGGTTATTTTGTGATTATATCTCTGCAGGGAAAAAGACGATATTCATACCTGTATCCACAAACAGAGATCTTTTAGATTTCAGTTTACTTTATGGAACTATTCCCCTTCTTAGCAAATCTGAGAACAAGTTTGAGCTAATTTTAGATCTGTATCTTTGGTTATTTGGAGTATCTGTCATTTTGCTCTATGCCTGCTGTGCCCTTAATCTGGCAGGCAGTTTTTAATTACAGAGTTCCAGTCAATTCCATTTAATGAATGATTATGGACTCTTATTGTTAAAGCTTGAATATATTCAATTCTTCCAAGACTCTTGAAAATATCCCCCCAAAATATTTTTAAGTGTATATCTTGCATACTGATGAGAAGAAAGGCAATGTCAGCAATGAATAGGGGAAAATAAAGAAGCTAACATGTTAAAACCCAGTAAAATTTTATCATTGCTATTTGCTAAAGAAAATCCATATCAATATGCCAATATGAAGGTATAGGAAATTATACTTCATGTTTTCAGAGCCAACTTTGAAGATGGTCTTTGATTTCTTCTTACCTTGTTTACTTTACTTTATTGATAGACAACTATTTTGCCCTCTGAGCATGTCCATTTCTTTTCATACTGTCCATTAGCCACTCAGTCCTCAACTGAAAGAACCACTTCCTATCCCTGTTGCACACTCCAAAATTATCTAAACTTTCTCTTTCCTTCTCCTCCAATGGAAATCATCTTTCCCATAATGAAACAGATTTCTGCTTGCTATTAAGGAGCAAGTAAATCAATTCAATTAATTCACAGCAAGAAATCCATGATGAATTGTCTCTCCTAAAATTACTTATATTTTAAAAGGATGAACTGTTCATCCTTATATACTACTAATAGGAATACATATTTTTACAAATTTCCTAGAAAGCACTCTGGCATCAAATATCAAGGAACCTGAAAATGCTCTCATAATTTTCCCAGTAGTTTTATTTCCAGAATTCATTTCTAAGAAAATAACCGGAACCAAACATTTATACACAGAGATGTTGATTGTAATGGTATGTTTAAAAGAAAAAGAAAAAGTCAACTTATGTCATAAATATAATAAAGATAATGATAATGTAATGAGTTGAAGAAGGAGGAAAAAGGGAGAGAGGGATAGATAAGCATTCATTGCCCATTTTCAGGAGGCTGCGAAAACCATGAAAATTTCTAAGTCTTCGGATGTAGCATGGTCATGTGGGGTCATCATGTCTGCCTAACAGCTAGTGAATGTTCAGGTATTTTAAAACTGGAGAATAATAACTAAATAAATGTTCCTATAAATTGTAAAGGCATTTTTCTGCTTAGTTGTGCCCAAATAACAGAGGTTTAATTAAGCAGGGTACTAAGCAAAGTACAAAGCAAGACAGGTTCAGATCCCACACAGTGTTCCTATCAATTGTGTGACCTTGGACAAGTTATTTAATCTCTGGGAACTACAGTCTGCATATTTTAAAATGTGATAATTACACTTGCCTTATAAGGTTATTATGGGGATTCAGAAATGTAATTCATGTAAAGTGATTCATATCTCATATACTAAATGTACTCAAATGTTCTTATTAATGTTACTCATTTAGTGAGGGAGACAGTTGTCAATAGATCACATCCTTTAAGGTTGGATACTTTAAAGGTTATCTTATTTATCAGAGTATTAGGCTATATTTTGTTGGAGAATTTTAGTTTATTGAAAAGAATCTTAGAGTTTATTAGCCATATATACATTGTATTTAATTACACTGTGTAAGGGTCTATATGCAAGTCACTGGAAATAAATTTTCAAAATTGATGTGCATGATACCTAGGAGGAAGTAGCACTTATAAGTTCGTAACCTTATAAACTCAGTCCATAAAGTTACAGTAGATGTCTCAGAGCCCCATAACATCTTGCCAGGATAATTTGCACAAGTGTTTTCTGTCCTGGATAAATGGATGGGTACTAAATGATGACTTGACCTAAAATGAATAAGCTAATAGGAAACTTGGGCATGTTTTCACCAGACTTACCTCCTTGCCTCTTGTTTTATGAAGCCAAGTCTCTCCGGATATAGTCCATGAAATAACAATTATTATGTTATTACAATTTTTTTCAAAGGATCTGTTTTCTTTCCCATTAAAGAATTTTAGAGGAGTCAGCATAGTATAACCTGATAGGTTTTATGTATGTAAAATGTATAAACTCATTAACCTATATTAGTTAAATTATTGGCAGACAGTAAATTAAGTAATTGAGAATGACAGTCTAATGGCTTTTGCATTGGTGTTTTGAAATTAGGTTGATTATTGACACTCATTGCCTTGTAATAATTTCTTTCAGTTGTCAGTAAATTAAAAATAGTTTTGCAAATATTGACACAAAGTTCTTTGGAGAATATTAATATTTTGCTCACTGTAGTAAACTTTGATGTGAGGTGGTCTGCCTATAACATCTGCTGTTTCTAAAGATTCTTTCCAGGTTCTGAGGTGAGCATCTGATATGTATTCATCACTATGCATCATCTCATTTAATCTTAACAGCAATTCTGGTTTTTATATTAGTTCTATTACAGATGGAGCTATGAAGTTCAGAGGGATTTTTTTTCAATCTAAGCCTTTTTCCTTGTATTAAATTTCTTACAATATACAGCATTTAGTTGTATATGGACAATATCTAATTGTTGGCCTAGAATAAGTGTTGGTTGGTAAACTAGTAATACAACTTGCAGGCCAAATATGGCTTGATAGCTGTTTTTGTAGTTTTGGCAAGCTAAGAATGGTTTTTACATTCTTAAAAGTTGAAAAAAATCAAATGAAAATTTTATAACATGAAAATTGTAAGCAAGTTAAATTTCAGTTTTATTAGAACACAGCCATTTCCATTCATTTATTTATTAGCTCTAGAGTCTTTCATGCTACACAGGTAGAGTTGACTAGTTTGGACACAGGCCCTATGGCCTGCAGAGTTGAAAAAATTACTATCTGGCCCTTTATAGGAAAAGTTTGCTGATCCCTTGCCTAGAGGGATAACTTATCTCATCTGCTATGCCTTTATAAATGACTTTATTTGTTATTGAGTGCTTACCACTTGCTACATACCGTGTTGGGCTCTTGTCCTGGGAATATGGTCGTAAACAAAGGAATACAGTGGGTAGCTTCAAGGAGCTTACAGCTTAAAGCTTATGTTTCAATTAATATTTTAATAGTCATAGGGTAGATTGATAATTTTATCATATTCTATATGATAAAATTATTTGGTTATTCTAATAAAATATGTAATACTCATAAGGTAGACTTTCATACTCATATAGACCTAATAAAATATTAGGTTAATCCAATAGTAAAATTATTTGGTTAAAATAAATATTCACCATAAACCTTACTGTTTGATCCTCTTTCTTTTTAAAAAATGCATACATATACCACACTGAACATAAACCTATCCCTCAGATGATTGTGATTTTATTGTGATTAGGACCATATATTACAAGCATATATTTTATGTTTGCTATAGCTCTAGATGTTGGCAGTATGGGAAATTGAGCTGAACCCTGATCATTCCACGGCATGTTCCGAAAACTGTTTATTGTTAATTTTTTGCCAAGTTCCTAATACCAGTTTTTTTCCTTGTCATTTTTTTTTAAAAACAAGTTAAAACTTATTCAAACATATTCTGAATTTTTCCTGTAGTACTTTATACTACTGCATTTGTTAACCTCGATGTGCATGTATATTTCAATTTTCCTTACTGGATGTTAGTTTTGTTAACATTAATGTATTTTAAACTTTACTTAATTGCATATGAAATGCTAATTTTTGTTATTTTAAGAATCTGCATTAATTGTGTCCAAATAGAAAAGAGTTATTTAATTTCCTCAAGGCAGCATTAGTATATAGTGAGTAAAAAACAAGTGTTTCTTCTCTGTGTGAGACTCATTTTCTGGTTTATATGTGTTTATATTTATGAGAAAAATACCATTATTTTCATGAGGAGAGAAATGGTTTTAATTCAATCATCATTTGTCTAGCCACTGAACATCTATTGACTTATTGATATGTGCCCATAGTAACCTAGTGACTGAGAGTGCAGACGTCAGTTTCCCTGTATGCATGGAGTGTTGTGTTTACACTTTCTGCCTGAAGATCCTGTTTTCCACAAATAATAGACAAGATTTGCCAGACGAGAATTTTTGCTTGTGTATGCGTGAGATTGAGTTGTACCACTTTAATTTGTTCCATGAGTATCCCTTTGTAAAATACTACTTCTGTTTTAGTAAGTTTTTTGCCTCTTTCTGTTCTTCAGTCTCCTCAAACCTGATGAATGATCATGCTGACGATTAGGATTAAATTACCTTATTTGTAACTTTCTGCACCTTTAATATTTGCTTTCAAATTTTGTTTTTGGAGACCTTAGGGCATTCATCATTTTAATGTGAACTTGTGATATTTCCTTTATCATTGTGAATTATTTCAGATTGTTATTATTGAACTTGGTATTCAGCTTGTTATTATATCTTTTCAATTCAATTTTTATTATTTTTGTTATTACAGCCAAGTATAATGGAACATATCTTTATAATGTATTATTTATTAAAACTTTTTGGCAGGTCTCTAGTTTCATACTTAAGTCAAATGAAAGTTTAAGGAAAATTTACATGTGGAAGAAAATTTCTTTTTTATATTACCAGGTTGTTCCTAAATTCTGTCTTTTCCATGATGTATGTATGTGTGTGTACATACAAGTGTGTATTTATATATAAAATTTGCAATTTTGGTCCCTATTTTACTTAATTTACAGTTGTTTCTGGCTAATTTTCAATTATGCCCTAGGACCTTTTAGATAATACCAAGGATAAAACGCTTGCTAAGGTATTAATTCTCTGTGTTTTATGGTAAAATTATGTATGTCATTATAAACTCTTACCTTGTGCTGAAATGGCTGAAGAAGGTAGAACACTATTATAATGACAATACTTGATTAGCACAAATTCATTACCCAACCTGATAATGAGTTTGCTAATACCACGCCAACATATCATGTCTTTAGGGACCATGGCTTTCCCAATCTGTAGATCTATACACTTTTCAATGTTTATCTTCCCTTGGCCTCCCAATGTACATAGTCTTTAAGTTTTTGGATGTTAAATTCCTAGATACTGACCTGGCCATGGCAGGCAAGAACCTAAATATTTAATCTACCTAGTAGTAATTTTCATGTCTAAATGCAGATAAAACATTGAAATGGGCCAAGTGTGGTGGCTCATGCCTGTAATCCCAGCACTTTGGGAGGCTGAGGCGGGCGGATCACGAGGTCAAGCGATCAAAACCATCCTGGCCAAAATGGTGAAACCCCATCTCTACTAAAAATACAAAAATTAGCTGGGCATGGTGGCGTGCACCTGTAGTTCCAGCTACTCGGGAGGCGAGGCAGGAGAACTGCTTGAACCCGGGAGGTGGAGGTTGCAGTGAGCCAAGATCGTGCCATTGCACTCCAGCCTGGGTGACAGAGCCAGACTCCATCTCAAAAAAAATTAAATAAATAAACAAAACATTGAAATGAAAAAAGAAGTCATTTGTTAGGTGTCTTCTTTTTCAGCCCTACCATATAAATGAATATTTTCTTCATCTGTGGGAAGGCTGGTGGTAAGAACTGCTTATACTGCAAGCAATGAAAACAAATAGCTTTAACCACACAAAATAAAACAATTATTTATTCACATAACTGAAAAGGATAGAGGAGAATTCAGCTTCAATGAGGCTTGATGGGCTACCAAAACAGCCCCCAGGTACTGGTTTCTTGTTTCTTAACTCTTTGACCTGCACTGCCAGCTTCATTCTCAGGTGCCACATTGTGGATCTCTGGCTCTAGGCTGTCCTCTTGTGTTGTAGACTGGCTGCCATCTCAACATGTCTTTCTACTGAAGAGCAGAAATCTCTTGCAGGGTTGATGCACACACCCCAGCAATTCTTGTGCTCTCTTTGGCCCAAATTGTGGCATGTACTCATCTCCAAACAATTTGCAGTGGATAAGGGGATAAATTATGTCGATCATCTTTACCAGTCCTGATACCTCCAGAACTGAGTATCTAATTGTATACTTGAGAGAGGGTAAATAAATATTCAAAGAAAAGTCAGGTGCTAGTATCTCATAAAGAGGAGGAATGCATGCTGGGGATGTAGTATCTTTTTTTACTACATAGGAGTCCCCTTTTTCCACAGGGGATATGTTCCAAGATCCCTAGTGGGTGCCTGGTACCACAGATAGTACTAAACTCTATATACACTGTTTTCCTATGCATACATACTTTTGATAAAATTTAATTTGTAAATTAGTAAGAGATTAGCAGTAATAACTAGTAATAAAATAGAACATTGATAAGAACAGACTGAAATAAAAGTTATGTAAATGTGATTCTCTCTCAAAATATCTGATTGGATTATACTCACCTGTTTTTGGGCAGCTGTTGATTGTGGGTAACTGAAACCCTGGAGCTCAAAACCATGGAAAAGAGGGGACCACTGTACTTGTTCTGGTGAAGTGTTCATCCTAAGAACTTGAAGAAAATGGAAGAAATAAAAAGGACGCCATCTTCATATTACCATGACAAATTAATCTATTGCAAGTTTCCATTTTAGCTGGGACTATATGTTTTGTCTGTATGTTTTTAGCATTGATGTCAGAAAGGCTTGCAGTTGGGTGTATTTGTGAGGTGAGGTGGGGTACAGATCAATTCCAGTAGTCTCACTTTAACATACAGAGGAATGAAAAATGCCAATCAAAGGATATGACAAGTATTCACCTGTCACCTATTTGAGTTTAGCCTCAAAATATTTTATTAGCATTCATCTACTACAAGAATGTTAAACTAAACTGCTTGTTTAATTATTTTTAATTGGGAAAAGTCTTCTATTGATTAATTTAGGCTACCAAGAGATTGAGGTGCCAGTCCAGCTGAAAAGCATAGACTATATCTGATACGGTTTGGCTGGGTTCCCACCCAAAATCTCATCTTGAATTGAACCCCCATAATCCTTATAATCTGCACATGTCAACGGAGAAACCAGCTGGAGGTAATTGAATCATGGCAGTGGTTTCCTTCATGATGGTCTCCTAATAGTGAGTTCTCATGAGATCTGATGATTTAATAAGCGTGTGGCAGTTCCTCCTCCATTTGTTTTCCTTCCTGCCACCCTGTGTAGAAGGTGCCTTGTTTCCCCTTTGCCTTCTGCCATGATTGTAAGTTTCCTGAACTTACAGTGCTGAAGTGTGAGTCAGTTATGCCTCTTTCTTTTATAAATTATCCAGGCTCAGGCAGTTCTTTGTAGCAGTGTGAAAGTGGACTAATATATTTGCAGCTTTATAATTTTAGGAAATAACAAAATGTTCCTTTTGTCATTGTCAATAGTATTTTGTCACCAAGGTACAATATGTAAAACGTGTACTGCTATTCAAACATATGGCATGAGACATCTGCATTATAGCAAATATTCATTCATTTATTGAGTAAATATTTACTGAGTGCTTACTATGTGCTGTTTGAGGTACTCAGGATAAAACAGAAAACAAAACTGAGGATTAGCCCTGCCTCCTGGTATAAAGAGACAATAAATAATATGTAATGTGTTAGAAAGTGTTATTTCCTTTGGAGAAAACAGAAAATTCTGAGTAGGGTAAGGGCAGTCGGGACAGTCAAGATCAAGCTTGCTAGGGTTGGGCAGAGGGAAGTGCGTGAAGTCAAAGTTTTAAGTAGGGTAATCAGGGTGTGCCTCATTAAGAGGTGAAATTTTAACAAAGATTAGATGAAGGAAAGAAGTTATGAAGACCTTTTATATCTACATCTTATTTAAGTTCAACAGCTACTTTTTGATATGAATTGTATCCTCTCCATATTTCACTGAAGAATCATAAGAGGCTGGGGCAGTATAAAATTAGGGAGAGTTGGAAATTTTCTGGTTCGTGCAGATTTGGTAAACAATCGAATTGTAGAAAATGACAGCTCTTTGTGTGTGGTTGATACATATAAGTGAAATCTTCAGTTTATGTTGAGGATATATGGCATATTTGAGTGTGCTCCTGGCAGTTTGAGGGTTCTGAATTTCTAGGAGAGGGGAGTAGAGTTCGAGGTGGAAGCTGTTTTGACAGTATTTGCACAGCAAGCACATACAGTATGTACATAGCAACATACACGTAGTGTACTTTTTCTTGTGTGGTGGTGGTGGTGGTGGTCAGAGAGACTAGGAGTGGAGAAGCCCCAGCCACCTCTTGCCGTTGTTCCTTCTTTGAGAGATGATTCTATTTAATCAGCAATTAATGTGTTCTTCCTATACCTTTCATTCCTAATTATTTTTGCCTTTAATTTTTATATTTTTCATTTATTAGCTCATTGATTTAACAGATGTTAGATAACTAATATTTGTCTTTAGTGATTATCATCATTGAAGTCATAATATTTTACATTTATTTAATACCTTTATATCTCATAGCATATAGATTTGCATATATGTGTATATATAAAATTTTATGTGAATGATCTAGTGTAGAACCTTCAGGAAATATTTATAATTATTATTGCCATTTTTCTAAGTAAGTTATTATTTCTCATGAGTTCCAATCCATCTCATACTATAGGTTTCACAGCATGATTTATCTATTTTCTGAATCTTCATTACTTACAGGATACCATGTAAGAAAATAGTGTTTCTTTCCCTGCCTCTGTATATGATTATTTCTCATATACATGTAGCAGCTTTGAGAATAACAGCTTTGTTGATGAAACTAGAACCAATGGTATTTGAATTGTTTAAAAACTGCAGGAAAATCATTGTAAGTTCTTTGTCATTTTGACATAAATCATCTTGAAGAATTATTTTCTTGTAAAAATCACACTCTAATATTTGAAAACATTTATAATATTTAATGCTTTATGGCATTTTCTTAATAAAATATCTTGCTTTTGCAGACTGTTATTTTTTGATATATGTTCATTTAGTTTGGTTTTGGTCGAGAATATGCCTTGTCTTGTACTGATATTCAGATACCCACTGCTAATGTTTTGGTTAAGGACTCTGTTCCCACCTGTCCTAGTCAGTGTTGGGCTGAGATGTGGATGCAGCTGGGCAACACATGTTTATTACCTCTGTGAGTGTCTACTGAAGCTGAGAGGGATATTTTATATGTTACTGGGTATAAATCTGGATCCTAAATATCTCAGGATCAATGGAATGGAGATAAGAAAATGAAACACAGTTTTCTAATTTAAATGAAATGTATGACCTTTTCTATACAATCTTAAGAAGGTACTACTAAGACCAGTTACAAGACAGTACAGGGAGATATACTTGATACAATAATTTTATGGAATTTTAATAGAATTATTGAGATATGCAATGGGCTAGTTAGAAATTTCCTGTCACTGTAAATTTGTACCAGCTTAGTGTGAGGGATAAAGAAAGGACTCAATTTGATCATATACCAAATGTTTAATGTATGCTTACTGTGTATTATTCATTGTTCTAGGTACTGGGGATATCAAAGTAAATCAACACTGACCCCACTCCTTAGTAATAAGCACGAAATGACTTTAAAAATAGTATGAAATTATATTAGTCCATTCTCATGCTGATATGAAGGAATACCTGAGACTGGGTATAAAGGAAAGAGGTTTAATTGACTCACAGTTCCACATTGCTGGGGAGGACTCAGGAAACTTACAATCATGGCAGAAGGCCAAGAAGAAGCAAGCACCTTCTAAACAGGGTGGTATGATGGAGTGAGAGCAAACAGGGGAAATGCAAGACGCTTATAAAACCATCATATCTTATCAGATTTATTCACTATCACAAGAACAGCATGGGGGAGACTGCCACCATGATTCAATTACTTCCCACCAGGACCTTCCCACGACTTGTGGGGATTATGGGGTTTACAATTCAAGATGTGGTTTAGGTGGTGACACAACCAAACCATATCATGCTGGCCCTGGCTCCTCCCATATCTCATGTCCTCACATTTCAAAACACAATCATTCCTTCCCAAGAGTCCCCCCAAAGTCTTAACTCATTCCCACATGAACTCAAAAGTCCAAGTCCAAATCTGAGATAAGGCAAGTCCCTTCTGCTTATGAACATGTAAAATCAAAAGCAAGTTAGTTACTTACTAGTGAGTAAATATACACATTCCAAATGGGAGAAATTGGCCAAAAAACAATGGGGCTACAGGCCCTATGCAAGTCTAAAATCCAATAAGGCAGTCATTAAACCTTAAAGTTCCAAAATGATCTACTTTGACCCCATGTCTCATGTCCAGGTCATGCTGATGCAAGAGGTCAGTTCTCACAGCCTTGGGCAGCTCCACCCCTGTGGCTTTGCAGGGTACAGACTAGCCTCACTCTTGGCTGCTTTCACAGGCTGGCATTGAGTGCTTGCAGCTTTTCCAGGTGGAAGTGCAAGCTGTTGCTGGGTCTACCATTCTGGGGTATAGAGAATGGTGGCCCTCCTCTCACAGCTCTACTAGGCAGTGCCCCAGTCAGAACTCTGTGTGTGGGCTCTGACTCCACATTTCCCCTCTGCACTGCCCTAGCAGAGGTTCTCCATGAGGGCTCTGCCCCTGTAGCAAACTTCTGCCTGGACATTCAGGCATTTCTGTACATCTTCTGAAATCTTGGTTAGAGGTTCCCAAACCTCACTTCTTGATTTCTGTGCACTTTCACGCCCAACACCATTAGTAAGCTGCCAAGGCTTGGGGCTTGGACCCTCTGAGGCAATGGCCCGAGCTTTATCATGTCCCCTTTTAGCCACAGCTGGGACTGAAGCAGCTAGGATACAGGCACGATATCCCGAGGCTGCACAGAGCAGGGGAACCCTGGGCGCAGCACATGAAACAATTTTTTTCCTCCTAGGCCACTGGGCCTGTGTTGGGAGGGGCTGCTGTGAAGGTCTCTGACATTCCCTGGAGATATTTTCCTCATTGTCTTTGGATTAACATTCCATTCTTTGTTACTTATGCAAATTTCTGCAGCGACTTGAATTTCTCCTCCAGAAAATGTGTTTCTCTTTTCTATCGCATCATCAGGCTGTGAATTTTCCAAATTTTTATGCTCTGCTTACTCTTCAATGCTTTAATGCTTAGAAGTTTCTTCTGCCAGATATCCTAAGTCATCTCTCTCAAGTTCAAAGTTCCACGTATTTCTGTGACAGGGGCAAAATGCCGCCAGTCTCTTTGCTAAAGCATAGCAAGAGTCACCTTTGCTCCAGTTCCCAAGAAGTTCCTCATCTCCATCTGAGACCACCTCAGCCTGGACTACATTGTTCATATCACTATCAGCATTTTGGTCAAAGCCATTCAACAAGTCTTTAGGAAGTTCTAAACTTCCCCACATCTTCCTGTCTTCTTAACCCTCCAAGTCTCTAGGAAGTTCTAAACTTTCACACACTTCCCTGTCTTCTGCGTCCTCCAAATGGTTCCAACCTCTGTCTGTTACCCAGTTCCAAAGTTGCTTCTTCATTTTCAGGCATATTTACAGCAGCACCCTTCTCCTGGTACTTACTGTATTATTGTTCTCACACTGCTATGAAGAAATACCAAAGTCTGGGTAATTTATAAAAGAAAGAGCTTTAATTGATTCACAGTTTTGTGTTGCTGGGGAGGCCTCAGGAAACTTAGAATCGTAGCAGATGGCAAAGGATAAACAGGAACTTTCTTCATAGGGAGGCGAGATGGAGTAAGTGCAAGCAGGGGAAATGTCAGATGCTTATAAAACCATCAGATCTCATGAGACTCACTCAGTATCATGAGTCAACAGAATGGAGGAAACTGCTCCCAAGATTCAATAACTTCCCACCTGGTCCCTCCCACAATACTTGGGGATTATGGGAACTACAATTCAAGATGAGGACACAGCCAAGCCATATCAGAAATGTTTAAGATATGTACAAGTATAAAAAATAATAAACCAAATACTTTTGTAACCACAACCCAACTTAATAAATGCTACCTATACAGTTCAAGACTTCTGTGGCCCTTTCTTATGGTTAAATCTAAAAATTTTTATTCTCTTACATTTGTTAATACTTTAACAAAAGCAACACTAAATCCTATGTAAAGGTAATAAGCATGTTTTTACATTGTGTGTATATATGCAGTTATACTGCCTGTGTGATTCTGTAACTCATGAATGTATCATACATTTATTCTTCTATTATTTTTGTTGTTGTTCATTCATTTTTGTCATAGAATAACCCAGTGTTTAAATACGCCACAAGTTTTTTTGTTAATGTAAGGTACGACAAGTGTATATCAGTGATTTTTATTTGGGCTTATCTGATTACTGGTGAAAATCAACATCCTTTCATGTGTATTGGCTTTTTCTGTTTTGCTAGTCTTTAACTTGCCTATTAAAATATTTTGTGTATTTGCTTTCATGGCTCACTGCAGCCTCGACCTCCTGGGCCCAAGCAATTCTCCCACCTCAGCCTTCCAAAGTGTGCACCACCATGTTTGGCTAATTTTTTTTGTAGTGATGGGCTTTTGCTGTGTTACCGAGGCTTGTCTCCATTTTCTGCGCTCAAGCAATCCTACAGGTCTATTTGCTTTTTCATGTGTATTGGTGATATGGTTTGACTGTGTCCCCACCAAAATCTCATTTGGAATTCTCACGGGTTGTGGGAGGGACCTGGTGGGAGGTAATTAAATCATGGGGGGCAGGTCTTTCTTGTGCTGTTCTCGTGGTAGTGAATAAGTCTCATGAAATCTGATGGTTTTAAAAAGGGGAGTTTTCCTGAACAAGCTCTCTTTGCCTGCTGCCATCCACGTAGGATGTGGCTTGGTCCTCCTTTCCTTCTGCCATGATTATGAAGCCTCCCCAGCCACGTGGAACTGTAACTCCCATTAAACCTATTTCTTTTGTAAATTGCCCAGTCTTGGGTATGGCTTTATCAGCAGCATGAAAATAGATTAATACAATTGGCTTTTTCAGGTTTGCTGTTCTTTAACTTGCCTATTAAAATATTTTGCCTGTTTTTCCATCCAGTTATTCATTCTTTATAGATTTTTACAAATTCTTTATGTATTCTGGATAGTAACCTTTTGTTTTTAGTTATATTCGTGGAAAATACCTTCTTTCATTTTGAAGCTTTCTTTTTTTACTTTATGCATATTGTTTATTGATGAAAGAAGGGTCTTAGTTAAAAGTAGCTGAATTTATCAGTTCTTTCTCTTCAGATTTATATTTATTTTCGCACCTTGTTTAAAATACTACCTACTGCAATCATTTTCTTTTCTGTTGTTTTTTGTAAATGTTTGGAGACTTTGCTAGTACGTTTTCAAATATGCATCTGTATATATTTCTGTCTTCCCAATTCTGTTCAGGTATCTATTTACCAACCATATGGCACAAAGAACACTTTCTTTGTGCCAGTCACTGTTCTAGTTCCTAGAAGACAGCTGTGAATCACACAAGCAAATACCTGTGCTTCCGTGGTGCTGATATTCTACTGTTTCATTTTGCCAGTACCCTGTTGTGTTAATTACTTTGTATATCTGAATATCCCGAAAGGCAAGTTCAACTACCGTGTCCTTTTGCAAAATTGCGTTTGCTTTTTTTTGGTCCCTTATTCTTTCATGTAAATCATAATCGTTTGTTTGAGTTCCACGAAAAATATCATTGACTCAATAGATAACTTTTCTTATCTTTCTGTCCCTCTGAGTCTTTGATACTCTTTCCATGTATATGTGAAAAATTATATTTTAAGACTAATTAGCCAGGTGTGGTGGCTCACATCTATAATCCCAGCACTGTGGGGGGCCAAGGCTGTAGGATTGCTTGAGCCCAGGGATTTGAGACCAGCCTGGGTAACATGGCAAAACCCCATCACAAATTAGCTGAGCATGGTGGTGCACGCCTGTAGTCCCAGCTACTTGGGAGGCTGAGATGGGAGGATTGCTTGAGTCCAGAAGGTGAAGGCTGCAGCGAGCTGTGATTGTGCCATTGCACTCCATCCTGTAGGACAGAGGGAGACCCTGTCTCAAAAAGAAAAAACCAAAAAAGCAAAAGTATAATCTGAAAAATGGAGCCACTTGTTGGTTCATAACATCATACATTGTATCCTAAAAACAATATATTTTATGTAACTGAGAAAAAAAATCAAAGATAGAAGTAGTTGAAACAAAAATTCCCACTCACTGGCATCATAAGTCTATGTTTTGTACCTTTCTATTAGGAAACTAACATTACAAACAACTTATTAGAAAGTCATATACTTTCTTACTTTGCTAAATTTCATGGCTTTAATATCTTCTCAGTCCTTAGTGAATATGAGGGTTGTCTTTTTTTTTAAGAAAATATCATATCAGTGGAATTTTTCACAGCACCTCAGTGCTTCTGATGCTAGGAAATTGGGCTTTATTCTATATAAAAATAATCATAAATATTAATATATAGTAGGTGAGTATTGCTTGATACCTTATAGTATTTCTACATTATTCCTTGTTTGCAGGGTCTTAGTAGTTTCTCATCTTTACCTTTCTGTTTCTCCTCTCTTAGATCTTAGTATGTTACCCTAAGACCCAGAAAACAGTGAACACATCCTTAGTTGGCCACAGGCCTGTTATTGCACTTTGGTTAAGATTTTGTTTCTCGGGTCTCCTTTCTAACTGTCGGACGCTGCCCTGTTATTAGAGCTATTTCCACTTCTAGTGAGTTCATTCTCAGTCTGTAATGAGATTAGAACCATTTCACCTTGTGAATGGCTGCTGTTTGGCAGTTAAACACCTTCAACGAGTTTAATAGACGTTCTTGGTTTAGATTCAGTCTGATTTTCTCAGTGCTAATAATCTCTCTCCGTGTCCTGAGCCAAGCATTTCTATGTGTTTATTGTAAATGATGAGGTAAAGTAAGATATTCCGGCCTTGCTCATATGTTTCAAGTAGCTTTTCTTTTTATAGTATCCTTTTTGTGAAACTAACTCTAGAGATGTCATCTGACATTTTTCAATCAGCTATCTCAGAACTTTTGTTTTACTTTGTGAGAGTAAAGAAATAGGATTTCTACTCATGGCTTTTCTGCTAATTACTACCTAGCTGTCCAGTTGTCAGCCAGTCAATTTTTATCTCTTGTTTTTATTTTCTTAATCTACAAAATGTTGCGATAGTACTAGATAGATTACTTCCTGGGTTTTGTTTAACTGTCTTTTTCCCAATGGCTTTCTATATGGATTCTGTGAAGGTAGATAGTGATCTATTAATCGTCCATTATGTTGTAGTTTCTATTTGCCATTTAAATTTTATTTCCTTTTTGGTGAGTATGTCTATTTTTAACATTTAAAAGAGGAAGACAACTTTCGTTGTCATTTATGGTATATTTAGCAATAAGATACTGCACGATTGTACCCCCTAGCCAGTGTACATTTTTATAAGTGTATTTGTAAAAATCCATTTTCTTCCTCAAGAATATTATTTAAACATTTATTGAACATTTACTATGCAACAAACTGGTGCCTGGCACTGGAAACAATAATGAATGAACCTGCCCTTGAGGAACTTTCAGTGTAATGATTTTTGGTTTGGTGGCAGTCTGTTCTGTTCAACCATGCTAATATTCCTGTATGCCCTGCCATATGCTTCTATCTTCCTTTTTAGGAGTGTTAACCTGAGAAGGGTCACTTCTTTATGTCCTTGCTTGGTGATTATAGTAAATGTCAATGTTCTTTTAGGGTCGAGAAAGTATATGTCGATGATCTTGTAAAGATGACATATACATCTTTTAGAGCATAATGTATTTCTGAATGATGAGAAGTTAATTTTTTCATTGGTCACTATATTGTAGGACAGTCATAAATGAATGAAGCACAGGTTGAGCTTGACACAATTAAAGAGACCTTGAAGTAAAAGAAGAACCTTTAAATCTACCGAGAATGGTTCTTAGAATAATTTAAGAGGCAGTATGGGTGTTTTGTATCCTTGAAAACTCTTTGAATGGCAACTTTATATACTAGATTATATTTAACTTTCCCTTACTCAGCTGTTTGTCAGAGTCCAAGAATTGTTTTATTCCTGAATTAAGAAGTCTGAAGTCCCATCGTGCTCACTTTTATGTACCTTTGCCTCTGTATGACATTGGAGGAAAAGGTGTCATTTCAAAAATACGGTCTCTTTAGCCATCCAAGTTCACTAGTGCCAACAAACTGGCACTTTTGTGGCTTCATACTTATAAATATATTGCAGTGTTTTTCACTGGGTAAGTTATCTTGTAGAGAAGGCAAAGAACTTATAAATTCATTTCATGATGTCCAAAAGATAATCCAGGAGACATATTTACACAGGCATAGCTCCTTGTTCTGTGTCTCACAAGGGAGAAAGAGGCTTTTATCAAATAATATTATAGGACAGCTGTCTTGGTTTTACTTAAAATGTAAACTTTTATTATTACTTCAATATTCAGATTAGTTTTTTCATTCATGTAAACTTGTCATTTCTGCTTAAAGAACTTCAAAGTTTCATCAAAATAGTTTCATTTCAATTTCAGGTAGTTGAGAATATAATTTATTATACATGTATCAAAGTCCTTATGTTAATCGTGAATGTCATCACATAAGTATTTTTTAAAGACCCATTAATGTAGTATAATCTATACTTTCTTAAATAAAACGATTGTCATAATCAGTCCATTATTGTAACACTCTAATACCATTCCTGAAATGTCCCATGATGTGAAATAAAAAAGATAATGATAATGATTCTAATGATACAGGAATAGTAAAGGCATAATAGGATATGTCTATTGATACCTTATCTTTACTTTTGTAACTCTTGATCTTGTTCATAAAGGTGAATTTACTACTTATTCTTACCTTTTCTTTTACTTTAATACATAGGGATGTGAGCTCATTTCAACTCCTGATCAAGACCACACTGACTTTACTAAGTGCCTTAAAATGCTCCAAAAGAAGATAGAAGAAAAAGACTTAAAGGTAATATATACATGTATTTGGTGGTTATTCCAAGGATGTGAAAACAATTTGTGTTTATTTTTTCACTCAGCTGAAATGGATATTTACTTTTGTGCTTTTTCTTTTTTTTTAAATTGCTGTCAGGTTTTTTTTCCCCTGTAGAGCAGATAAGTCTGCACTTAGCTGCCAAAACATTAACATGTGCACTTAAACCAGGGAACACAAATGTAAACATCTTACAGTGGCATGGTAATAAAATGGGTGAACTGGACCGTGTGTCAAGTAATCAAAACTGGGAACTCATTCTTGCCTGAAAGCGACTAGCTACTATTCGTCTCTAGTTGATTGTTGCCATGAAGAGCTATATGTATTTTTGGACTGTGTCTATTTACATATTATATAGGCAAAACAAATATGGCCTTGATTTGGCCCCTGGGCTATCATTGCAAATTTTTATTTAAACGAATATCAGCTTTTTTTAAGCCAGAGAAGAGTCTACTGCTTTGCATTCTGTGCTCTTTAAGGTATTCAGTACTGATTTTCACCTAGCATCCAAATGTTTAATTGCATTAATTAGTACACCAGTTTATACTTTATTGTTTGATACCTGTTGAAATGGTATGCAAAGTTTCTTAAGACTGTGTTTAATGAACAGCTACAAAATTAAACCTGAAGCAATGAATGACAATTGACCTTTTTTTCCCCCACTAGCAGGGGCAATAAGTTTTAAGCTGAGATGAATGATCAGTTGTGTAATTTTAAACCAAGAAAAGTAGGAAAACACCCTTGTATATTAGAACGATTTTGATAGTACAAGTAACAGAAAACACATGTCAACCTGCTCTCAATAACCAAGTGATGTAGGGCAGTCTTGAGACAGAGCTTAATCAGAACTCATGCCCTTTTTCTTTTATTTATCTTGGCTTCACTTTGTAGGTTTTGTCTTCACACTAGCTTCCTTGATTGTCTCCAACTGCCACCTGCAGTAACATTTTACCCTTCACATGTAGGGGGATTAAGACATAGAGCTGGTGAGATACATCACTTCCCACCATCATTGGACTTAACCCTTAAGATCTCTCCATTAAACCACTCTTGCTTTTGGCAAAGGAGAACGAGAGAATCCTGATTGTCTTGGGCTGGAGCCAGGTGTGGGATCAATCCACGTGGCTTATATATTCAAACTACGTGGCTAAAACATATTTGGCAGGATGGGATAGATATCAGAGTGGCAGCTCTAACAAAAATTTACTCTCTAGCAAAAGTTTGTTAAAGATACACTGTAGCATATATTTACTAAGTTGCAGTTAGTAGTAAATTCTTTTCTCCCTTTGAAATAAAACCTTGCTAACTATCACAATTGGCAAGTAGCTCAATCTGCGAACTCAAACAAAAATAATTGAGTGAACATTTCTCATCTCTGATGTAGCTTTGCTGATCTATATCAAATGTATTGTGATATTTCCAGCAGTAAATTGATATAATTAAGTATTTGTTTAATGAAAGCAGGAAACAGCAAATTGAGAGTTACTTATTTCATCCAGATATCAGTGATTTGGTGTTTCTTTGGAAAAACAGTGTAAATATTCACAGCTGTCTTTTGTTTTTCCCATCACCTCCACTGACATGATTAAAAGCTAAGACGCAATTATGTGAGTCTAATGAGTTGTGTCTAATCGATAGTATCAGTAATACAGTATTCTGTCGTTGAGGCTTGAAACAAATCATCATATCTTAAACTCAACAAGGCCCAGATCTAGAGAGAGCCCCAAACTGAGAGAGGAGGGTATGATCTGCAAACAAATCTGACAGTCTTGGCCAATCTGGTGGGGACTCTGGAAGCAAGAGTAGCTGTTAGAGGGCCCCTGCACTGGGCAGAAATAGCAACAACCTTGTACTCCAACTGTGCTTAGTCACAGACTAGAGGGTGCTCATGAGGAGGGTGGACTTGGCTTAGAGGTTGCCAAGGAAGAGTACAGACTTGGTGGCTGTGATGTGCTGCCTCCTGAAGGGGTTGCAGCGGGGGCTGATGACGGATGACTGGCCTCCACACAGCCTAACAGTGAGTTCTTTTTTGAAGAGCAATGCAGTGGTACACTGCCTGTGCTGCCTCAGGCCCCAACATGCTTTGGACCCAATGCATTCTCCAGCCCCATCCTACACCAGTGTTTCTCCTTGTTCTTAAACTATGCCGCATTTTCTCCTCCCTCCTACTTTAATGTGTTTTTATATATGTTGCCCCCTCTGCTTGGAATCTTATTTTTCCTTTTCTTTGTCTAGACCATGCATGCTAGAGGGCTTCTTTTTCTTTTTTTTTTTTTTTCAGGTCTGATACATTTATTTATTTTTATATATTTTTTATTTCAATGGGTTTTGGGGTACATGTGGTTTTTGGTTACATGGATGAATTGTACATTATTGAAGTCCGAGAGTTGAGTGCACCTGTTACCCCAGTGTAGTGTACATTGTACCCAATAGGTAGTTTTTCATCCCTCAACCCCCTCCCACCCTCTCCTCTTCTGAGTCTTCTGTGTCCATTGTATCACTATGCCTTTGCACACTCTTAGGTTAGCTCCCACTTATAAGTGAGAAAATGCAGTATTTGGTTTTCCATTTCTGAGTTACTTCACTTAGAATAGTGGGCATGGCAGAGTTTGACTGGCTGTCCTTAACTATCACTCTAGGTTAGGTTTAGTTACTCTACATTTCCATACCCTCCTTTATTTTTTCTTTAGGGTATTCTGAACAATTTTGATCATTTTACTAATTGTTTCTAATTGTTTGCCTAAAGTCATTCTTGCCAGCTTGACTGTACAGCCCATGAAGCTGAGCTCAGGTTTGCTTGTTCATAACTTGACAGCAGTATTTTGCATAAAAGAAGTATTCCTTGAAAGTTTGGTACGTTTTATGCACCACAAGAACACACAGGAGAGTGGAACATAACACAGTTAGGAGAAGGCTTTTTAGAGAAGGCTGAGACATAGTAAGCAAATAGGAGGTAGACAGTGCATTAGTCCATTTTGCATTGCTATAAAGGAATACCTGAGGCTGGGTAATTTATAAAGGTAAGAGTTGTATTTGGTGTATGCCTATGCTGGCTGTACGAGCATGGCATCAGAATCTATTTGGCTTCTCATGACCCCTCAGGAAGCTTTTACTCATGGCAAAAGGTGAAGGGGCAGCAGGCCTGTCACATGGCAAGAAGGGAGCGAGAAAGATGACAGGCTCTTCGTAAGAACCAGTTCTCTTGGCCCAGCATGGTGGCTCACACCTATAATCCCAGCACTTTGGGAGGTTGTGGTGGGCAGATCACGAGGTCAGGAGATCGAGACCATCCTGGCTAACATGGTGAAACCCCATCTCTACTAAAAATAAAAAAATTAGCTGGGGTGATGGCACACACCTGTAGTCCCAGCTACTTGGGAGGCTGAGGAGGGAGAATCACTTGAACCCAGGAGGCAGAGTGCCGGGTCCAACCCGCAGACCCTGACCCAGCAACAGATGAAAGACATACACTGACACAGGTATTTTGCCTGTCAGTGGGACTAAGGGGCTCTGACGCCTGAGTCTGCAGCTTTCGCCTCCATAAAATGGCAAAGTTTGCGTTTATTTAGTACAAATTAAATGACAAAGTTCTCAAGTAAACACCACTAGAGGGTAATTTACATTGTTGATCTCCTGAGTAGAGAGCAGTCATGAGCCCACAGATGATCAAAGGTTGGTCTTAGGACCACATGAGTAAAAAAGCTATTTAGATAAACTCCTTTACATTCCTATGTATCTTTGCCCTAAGCTTTTAAGAGAATTCAGTTGCCTTCAGCCAAATCCTTCACTGAAGCTATGCAAACCCACTGGCCTTCCAAGAAGGTTTGTGTCTGTTTCCTATAACTTTATAATCTCCCACCACCCTGACCGATATCCTATAGCGGAGGTTGCAGTGAGCTGAGATCGCACCACTGCCCTCCAGCCTGGGCAACAGAGCAAGACTCCACCTCAGAAAAAAAAAAAAAAAAAAGAACCAGTTCTCTTGTGAACTAATAGAGTGAGAACTTACTCATTAGCACAAAGGTGGCACTAAGCTATTCATGAGGGATCCACCCCCATGTCCCAAACACCTCCCACCAGGCTCCACTGCAGAAATTGGGGATCACATTTCAACATGAGATTTGGAGGGGACAAACATCCAGACTATATCAGACAGCAAAGGGGAGAAGAGTGTTTCAGGAAGTACTGTAGTGCACACAGAGTGTGTATAGCACTTTGTAGGAGTGGGCACAACTCCTATCTCCATCCTCGTAGGGTCCTGACTGGGCCTTGAGAATTAAATTGACCTGAGATAGATTAACAAGAACAAAGCATAAAATTTTATTTCATACAAATTTTACATGGCATGGGAGCCCACATAAAGAAGTGAAGACCCAGAGAAGTACTTAAAGCCTGTTGCTTTATATACTACATTGGACAAAGAATAGTACATTGTGAAGAAGCATCTAACTTACTTGCAGAGGCTTGAAAGATAAGAGTTATTTTATTGTATTTTTTATTTTTGTTTTTTTTTTATACTTTAAGTTCTAGGGTACATGTGCACAATGTGCAGGTTTGTTACATATGTATAGTTGTGCCATGTTGGTGCACTGCACCCATTAACTCGTCATTTACATTAGGTATATCTCCTAATGCTATCCCTCCCCACTACCCCCACCCCACGACAGGCCCCGGTGTGTGGTGTTCCCCACCCTGTGTCCAAGTGTTCTCATTGTTCAATTCCCACCTATGAGTAAGAACATGCGGTGTTTGGTTTTCTGTCCTTGGGATAGTTTGCTCAGAATGATGGTTTCCAGCTTTATCCATGTCCCTACAAAGGACATGAACTCATCCTTTTCTATGGCTGCATAGTATTCCATGGTGTATATGTGCTACATTTTCTTAATCTAGTCTATCACTGATGGACATTTGGGTTGGTTCCAAGTCTTTGCTATTGTGAATAGTGCCGCAATAAACATACGTGTGCATGTGTCTTGATAGCAGCATGATTTATAATCCTTTATACTCAGTAATGGGATGACTGGGTCAAATGGTATTTCTAGTTCTAGATTCTTGAGGAATCGCCACACTGTCTTCCACACTGGTTGAACTAGTTTACAGTCCCACCAGCAGTGTAAAAGTGTTCCTATTTCTCCACATCCTCTCCAGTACCTGTTGTTTCCTCACTTTTTAATGATTGCCATTCTAACTGGTGTGAGATGGTCTCTCATTGTGGTCTTGATTTGCATTTCTCTGATGGCCAGTGATGATGAGCATTTTTTCATCTGTCTGTTAGCTGCATAAATGTCTTCTTATGAGAAGTGTCTGTTCATATCCTTTGCCCACTTGTTGATGGGTTGTTTGATTTTTTTCTTGTAAATTTGTTTAAGTTCTTTGTAGATTCTGGATATTAGCCCTTTGTCAGATGGGTAGATTGCAAAAATTTTCTGCCATTCCGTAGGTTGCCTGTTTGCTCTGATGGTAGTTTCTTTTGCTGTGCAGAAGCTCTTTAGTTTAATTAGATCCCATTTGTCAATTTTGGCTTTTGTTGCCATTGCTTTTGGTGTTTTAGACATGAAGTCCTTGCCCATGCCTATGTCCTGAATGGCAATGCCTAGGTTTTCTTCTAGGGTTTTTATGGTTTTAGGTCTGACATTTAAGTCTTTAATCCATCTCGAATTAATTTTTGTATAAGATGTAAGTAAGGGATCCAGTTTCAGCTTTCTACATATGGCTAGCCAGTTTTCCTAGCAGCATTTATTAAATAGGGAATCCTTTACCTATTGCTTGTTTTTGTCAGGTTTATCAAAGATCAGATGGTTGTAGATGTGTGGTATTATTTCTGAGGGCTCTGTTCTGTTCCATTGGTCTATATCTCCGTTTTGGTACCAGTACCATGCTGTTTTGATTATTGTAGCCTTGTAGTGTAGTTTGAAGTCAGATAGCATGATGCCTCCAGCTTTGTTCTTTTGGCTTAGGATTGTCTTGGCAATGCAGGCTCTTTTTTGGTTCCATATGAACTTTAAAGTAGTTTTTTCCAATTCTGTGAAGAAAGTCATTGGTAGCTTGATGGGGATGGCATTGAATCTACAAATTACCTTGGACAGTATGGCCATTTTCACGATATTGATTCTTCCTATCCATGAGCATGGAATGTTGTTCCATTTCTTTTTGTCCTCTTTTATTTCATTGAGCAGTGGTTTGTAGTTCTCCTTGAAGAGGTCCTTCACATCCCTTGTAAGTTGGATTCCTAGGTATTTTATTTTCTTTGAAGCAATTATGAATGGGAGTTCACACATGATTTGGCTCTCTGTTTGTCTGTTATTGGTGTATAGGAATGCTTGTGATTTTTGCACATTGATTTTGTATCCTGAGACTTTGCTGAGGTTGCTTATCAGCTTAAGGAGATTTTGGGCTGAGATGATGGGGTTTTCTAAATATACAATCATGTCATCTGCAAACAGGGACAATTTGACTTCCTCTTTTCCTAATTGAATACCTTTTATTTCTTTCTCCTGCCTAATTGCCCTGGCCAGAACTTCCATCACTATGTTGAATAGGAGTGGTGAGAGAAGGCATCCATGTCTTGGGCCAGTTTTCAAAGGGAATGCTTCCAGTGTTTGCCCATTCAGTATGATATTGGCTGTGGGTTTGTCATAAATAGCTCTTATTATTTTGAGATATGTCCCATCAATACCTAATTTATTGAGAGTTTTTAGCATGAAGCGCTGTTGAATTTTGTCAAAGGCCTTTTCTGCATCTATTGAGATAATCATGTGGTTTTTGTCTTTGGTTCTGTTTATATGATGGCTTATGTTTATTGATTTGCATATGTTGAAGCAGCCTTGCATCCCAGGGATGAAGCCAACTTGATCATGGTGGATAAGCTTTTTGATGTGCTGCTGGATTCAGTTTGCCAATGTTTTATTGAGGATTTTTGCATCGATGTTCATCAGGGAGATTGGTCTAAAATTATCTTTTTTTTTGTTGTGTCTCTGCCAGGCTTTGGTATCAGGATGATGCTGGCCTCATAAAATGAGTTAGGGAGGATTCCCTCTTTTTCTGTTGATTGGAATAGTTTCAGAAGGAACGGTACTAGCTCCTCTTTGTACCTCTGGTAGAAATTGGCTGTGAATACATCTGGTCCTGGACTTTTTTTGGTTGGTAGGCTCTTAATTATTGCCTCAATTTCAGAGCCTGTTATTGGTCTATTCAGGGATTCAACTTCTTCCTAGTTTAGTCTTGGGAGTGTCTATGTGTCCAGGAATTTATCCATTTCTTCTAGATTTTCTAGTTTATTTGCGTAGAGGTGTTTATAGTATTCTCTGATGGCAGTTTGTATCTCTGTGGGATCGGTGGTGATATCCCCTTTATCATTTTTTATTGCGTCTATTTGATTCTTCTGTCTTTTCTTCTTTATTAGTCTTGCTAGCGGTCTATCAATTTTGTCGATCTTTTCAAAAAACCAGCTCCTGCATTCATGATTTTTTGAAGGGTTTTTTTGTGTCTCTATTTCCTTCAGTTCTGCTCTGATCTTAGTTATTTCTTGCCTTCTGCTAGCTTTTGAATGTGTTTACTCTTGCTTCTCTAGATCTTTTAATTGTGATGTTAGGGTGTCAATTTTAGATCTTTCTTGCTTTCTCTGAAGCTTGTGCATGCATCGTGTAGTTCTCGTGCCATGGTTTTCAGCTCCATCAGGTCATTTAAGGTCTTCTCTACGCTGTTTATTCTAGTTAGCCATTCGTCCCATCTTTTTTCAAGGTTTTTAGCTTCTTTGCGATGGGTTCGAACATCCTCCTTTAGCTCAGAGAAGTTTATTATTACCGATCTTCTAAAGCCTTCTTCTCTTAACTCGTCAAAGTCATTCTCCATCCAGCTTTGTTCTGTTGCTGGCGAGGAGCTGCATTCCTTTGGAGGAGAAGAGGCGCTCTGATTTTTAGAATTTTCAGCTTTTCTGTTCTGGTTCCTCTCCATCTTTGTGGTTTTATCTACCTTTGGTCTTTGATGATGGTGACGTACAGATGGGGTTTTGATGTGGCTGTCCTTTCTGTTTGTTAGTTTTCCTTCTAACAGTCCGTACCCTCAGCTGCAGGTCTGTTGGAGTTTGCTGGAGGCCCACTCCAGACCCTGTTTGCCTAGGTACCACCAGCAAAGGCTGCAGAGCCACAAATATTACAGAACGGCAAATGTTGCTGCCTGATCATTCTTCTGGAAGCTTCGTCTCAGGGGCACTGAGCCATATGAGGTGTCAGTCGACCCCTACCGGGAGGTGCCTCCTAGTTAGGCGACTGGGGGGTCAGGAACCCACTTGAGGAGGCAGTCTGTCTGTTCTCAGATCTCAAACTCCATCCTGGGAGAACCACTACTCTCTTCAAAGCTGTCAGACAGGAATGTTTAAGTCTGGAGAAGTTTCTGCTGCCTTTTGTTCAGCTATGCCCTGCCCCCAGAGGTGGAGTTTACACAGGCAGGCAGGCCTCCTTGAGCTGTGGTGGGCTCCACCCAGTTGGAGCTTCCGGGCCGCTTTGTTTACCTACTCAAGCCTCAGCAATGGCGGGTGCCCTCCCCGGACCCCCACCCAGCCTCGCTGCCACCTTCCAGTTCAATCTCAGACTGCTGTGGGCATAGGACCCTCTGAGCCAGGCATGGTATGTAATCTCCTGGTGTGCCGTTTGCTAAGACCATTGGAAAAGCGCAGTATTAGGGTGGGAGTGACTGATTTTCCAGGTGCCGTCTATCACGGCTTCCCTTGGCTAGGAAATGTAATTCCCCGACCTCTTGCACTTCCCGGGTGAGGTGATGCATCGCCCTGCTTTGGCTCATAGTCCGTGGACTGCACCCATTGTCCTGCACCCACTGTCCAACAAGCCCCAGTGAGATGAACCCAGTACCTCCGTTGGAAATGCAGAAATCACCCGTCTTCTGCATCGCTCAGGCTGGGAGCTGTAGACTGGAGCTGTTCCTATTCGGCCATCTTGGTACCTCCCCGAAAGATAAGAGTTATTTTATAACAAGACAAGGATGCCCTCTCTCAGCGCTCCTATTCAACATAGTATTGGAAGTTGTAGGCAGGCCTGTCGGGCAAGAGAAAGAAATAAAGGCTATTCAACTAGGAAGAGAGGAAGTCCAACTATCTTTGTTTGCAGATGACCTGATCCTATATCTAGAAAACCCCATTGTCTCAGCCTAAAAGCTTCTTAAGCTGATAAGCAGCTTCGGCAAAGTCTCAGGATACAAAATCAATGTGCAAAAATCAGTAGCATTCCTATACACCAACAACAGGCAAGCTGAGAGCAAACCATGAATGAACTCCCCACTCATAATTGCCACAAAAAGAATAAAATACCTAGGAATACAGCTAATGAGGAAAGTGAAGGACTTCTTCAAGGAGAACTACAAACCACGGCTCTAAGAAATCAGAGATGACCCAAACAAATGGAAAAACATTCCATGCTCATGGACAGGAAGAATCAATATCATGAAAATGGCTATACTGCCCAAAGTAATTAATAGATTCAATGCTGTTCCCATTGAATAATTGAATAATAAAACTACCAACACATTCTTCACAGAAGTAGAAAAAAACTAATTTAAAATTAATATGGAACCAAAAAAACAGCCCAAATAACCAAGGCAATCCTAAGCAAAAACAACAGAGCTTGGAGGTATCACGCTACCCGACTTCAAACTATACCACAGGGCTGCAGTACAAGAAAAGACAGATAGACCAATGGAGCAGAACAGAGAACCCAGAAATAAGACCACACACCTATAACCATCTGATTTTTGACAAACCTGACAAAAACAAGCAATGGGGGAAAGATTCCCTGTTTAGTAAATGGTGCTGGGAGAACTGGCTAGTCATATACAGAAAACAGAAACTGGACCACTTCCTTACACCATATACAAAAGTCAACTCGAGATAGATGAAAGACTTAAATGTAACACCCAAAACTCTCAAAACTCTAGAAGAAAACCTAGGCAATGCCATTCAGGAAATAGGCACGGGCAAAGATTTCATGATGAAGACACCAAAAGCAATTGGAACAAAAGCAAAAATTGACAAATGGTATGTAATTAAACTAAAGAGCTTCTGCACAGCAATAGAAACTATAAACAGTAAACAGACAACCTACAGAATGGGAGAAAATTTTTGCAATCTGTGCATCTGATAAAGGTCTAATATTCAGCATCTATAAGGAATTTAAACAGATTTACATGAGAAAAACAACCCCATTAAAAAGTGGGCAGAGTGATTATATTAAATCTGAGGAAGTGGAGTATCTGTGAGCTTCCACCTGACTTTACATTTAACTTGGAAGGTCAACACTGTATTTTATTTGATGTTATAGCAAGAGAAAAGCAACATTAGAAGGGAAAATAATACAAGATTTCCCTCCACCCATACTCCTGTCTCCATATGAGATCATGAAGCCTTTTTAAAATTTCTCCTGATAATACACATAAACTGTATCAAATCTTTATATGCCTCTTCTCCATCTAATAAATCATATCAAATTATTATATATTTTTTATTTCTACTTATTAAATTATAAATATGAATTTATAATCAAAGTATATTTTATAATAGGCCTCTTACTATAAAATGTTAATTGTAATGTAAATAAAATGCAAAATAGTATTTAATATATTAAAGAACTATATGTTAGAAATTCATAGAATTTGAATTAGGTCTGTCCTGATCCTAAAGGAGTTTACTATCTAGAACATGAGATTACTTTTTTTAAATTCCCCTAAATTACCTTTTTAGTTCATGTATCCATCTAATTGAAACCCAATCACCCTTAACATTTACTCTTCCACAAAAGGATTCTCTCATACCTGGGACTTTTTAAGGCTTTGCTTTCATGTTGCCACATTGTTTATCTGTAACTGAGTCATGAATACTACATTATCAGGATGCCATCTGATATGTCTGAGTCTTCAAAGGACACATATATTTTCGGATGCTGTGATACACACTTGAGATCTAAACCCTGGGATTTGGTGGAAAACATTAAAAGCTGTCTCTCTAAACATCTAAACATATAAGATGCATGTTCTTTACAATAAAGCAGAAATAAATTAAGATTATGAGGCCCTAAGAATAACAGGATAGGTCTCTTTAGGATATTTACTAGTATTATATGGCAACAGAATCAGTTACTTCAATTTTAAACATAGACTATATATTAGACAAAATCTGAGCAGAAAAGTTTCCATTAATTTCAATCTGAATGCTTTAGAGATTTAAACCAATACTAGTTTTATTTGCTAAAACCTCAGTACATTTTAGCCAGCTTATATTATGCCATGTAATTTCTTAAGCAGTTTTTAAATCAAATAATGAAGGATGGTGAGTAGGTTATATGAATGAGGGCAAATGCTTATATTATATATATATGTGTGTGTGTATATATATATATACATACAGCTACACACACACATAAATGACTGAATTAAATAATACTGAAGGCCATAGGTTTATTACATATTATTCTTTTTTATTTTCTTAATAGGCTGGGCAAGTACTGAATTGTGATTTACATATTTTAAGACATTTCTGTATAATTTGAGTATGTCCAAATTGAAGTTATTAACTCTTGACCATTAGGACTCTGTTAAGAACAGTCTTTCTATTTAATGTCTACATGGCATTTCTCAGATAGATACATTATCTTTATACAGCAGCAAATTCTATGAGCTTAGAATATTTTGTTTTATCTTCTAATTATCAGTATTGGATTTAGGTGTACATTACTTTTCTGCAATGGACTGGTGGATTTGTTTTATTTTCATACTAAATATGAACATTCTCCTCCATTGAAAATACAATTTAAGGCTAACTGTCTGATTGGACTAATTACTCAGCAGCATAAAAAGATGTGACTCATTGGGTTGCAGGAAAAACCATGATAGTACCCCAAGAGATATCTTTCCAGGTACTCTGGTGTCTCAGTACAGCCTGCTTTCATGAACTGGTATCTTTGGCATGATCTAAAGGAAAATATATGTGTGTGTATGTGTAAAAATGTATTCTGAAAAGGAAAAAATCTTTATAGTGGAGAATCCTGGCAGATACCACATTAATCAAGTGAAAAACATTAATAACATCGTTATATCATACTAGTAATGCCCTCCTACATGGATATAAGTTGAGAAGGGCACTTGTGGAGTTCTTCTCTAAAATCCACAATTCCACTTTAACCTTTAAAGTAGTCAAAGAACTCCAAGTTGAAGAATATTCCATCAAATGCCTGACCAACATTTTTAAGGCCAACAGAGAAAGACTGAGAAATTGTTATGGCCAGAGGAGATGAAGAAGACATGACAACTAACTGCAGTATGGTAACCTGATTTCTGTTGTGTAGTGGAAAAATAGGACATTAGGGAAAGCTGTTGAAATCTGAATAAGCTTGAAAGTTTAGTTAATAGTAGTGACCAATGTCAGTCTTAGTTGTATCCTATGTACTGTGTTTAGACAAGATGTTAACACTGCTGAAAACTGGATGAAGAGTATACTCCTTGTACTATTTTTGGAACTTTTTAGTAAATCTAAAATTATTCCAAAACACAACATTTCATTGAGAAAATATATTCACTGTTTCAAATATGCTATTACCCTAGAACAGGTGTAATCTTTTAGTGAATGGCTCACAGTAATATAGAATAAAGGCAAGTGCTTCTTAGTACTTAGGCAAAAAAACAAAAAACAAAAAACAAAAAAAAAACAATGCCTTTTGTGGACTCTCCCACCTTTAAAATATTTCCTCAGGAAATTTTAAATTGTGAGTTTCTGATGCATATTTAGACAACTGTTTTACATGAAAATTATGCCTGGTAGAAAATCTTAGGTAGACATTTGATGGTCTTTAAACTATGGAGACAGCCCAGATGCTCTCAACTTTCCCACTTTCCCAAGGGATAAATTTCAAAATATGGTAAGACTCTATCAAAGGTAGAACTGCCACTAGATATGTTTTTATCAGGATTAACTCTAGAAGTACTAACCTATGTATTCCTGCCTCTTCTTCTTGCCTGTCAGTCTCTGTCCTGGTCTCCTTCAGCCTCTCATTTTCTCTTGGGCATTGCCTGTGCTGACATTCTGACATACCTGCTTTTCTCCTCTTTATCTTGTTTCTGTGACCTTCACTTACCACTTCTGTGCCATTCATTAATTTGTACCTTTAATCCTAAACTCCAAATTTGTACCTAATTCGTACCTTTAATCCTAAACTCCAAAGCTGTTTTTCTCCTTGCTAACTGGACGA